>NC_000006.12:2181212-2332727 GCF_000001405.40 Homo sapiens
CCATGTTTAACAGAATTCATTAAAAAGGTACACAGCAGCAAGGAATATAACTAATACCTCTCAATTCCTAATTCCCACCTACCTCTCTCCTCAAAAAGTGTCTCTGCTCGACAGATGGCATCTGTATTCACCCAAATGATCAAAACACTTAGGATTCATTCTTAACTCCTCCCTTTACTCACAAAATCCAATCCATCGGCAAATCCTACCAATTCTATTTCAAATTACAGCCATATCTTGTTTTGCTGTGCTACGTTTTATTGCAATTCCCAGACACTGCTTTTTTTTAATAAACTGAAGGCTTGTGGCAATCCTGTGTCATACATTTTTCCAATAGCATGTGCTTGCTCCATGTCACTATTTTACACTTTGATAATTCTCACAGTATTTCAAACTTTTTCATTATTATTATGTCAGTTGTGGTGGTCTGTGATCAGTCATCTTTGTTACCACTGTAATTGTTTAGGGGAACCAGGACCACAAACCAAGCCCATACAAAATGGTAAATGTAATCGGAAAATGTCATGTGTGTTCTGACTGCTCCACCAACTGACTCTCCTCCCTCTTCCCTCTCCTCAGGCCTCCCCCTTCCTTAGAAAAACAACATTGAAATTAGACCAACTAATAACCCAGCAATGACCTCCATGTGTTCAAGTGAAAGGAACAGTCACACATCTCTCACTTTAAATAAAAAGCTAGAAATGATTAAGCTTAGGGAGAAAGACATGTCCAAAGTCAAGACCGGCTGAAAGGTAGCCTCTTGCACCAAACAGTTAGCTTAGCTGTGAATGCACATGAAAAGTTCTTGGAGAAAATTAAAAGTACTACTCCAGTGTACATACAAATGATAAGAAAGTGAAACAGCCTTACTGCTGATGTGGATAAAGTTCTAGTGATCTGAATGGAAGATCAAACTAGTAACAACAGTGCCTTAAGCCAAAGCCTAATCCAGAGCAAGGCTCTAACTCTCTTCAATTCTATTATATGATGGTTGAGAGAGGTGAGGAAATTGCAGAAGAAAAGCTGGAAGCTAGCACAGGTTGGTTCATGGGGCCAAAGTGAAAAAACTATCTCCATAACATGAAAGTGTAAGCTGAAGCAGCAAGTGCTGATAGAGAAGCTACAAGTCAGCCAGAATATCTAGCCAACATAATTAGTGAGGGTGGTTACACTAAACAACAGATTCTCAATGTAGACAAAACAGTCTTCTATTGGAAGAAGACGTCATCTGGGACTTTCATAGCTGCAGAGATGTCAATGCCTATCTTCACAGCTTCAACTGACAGGCTGACTCTCTTGTTTGGGACTAATCAGCTGACTTATGTGAGCCAGTGTTTATTTGCAATTCCAAAAATTATAAGGCCCTTAAGAATTTTGTTAAATCTATTATGTTTCTGTGCTATAAATGAAACAACAAAGCCTGGATGACAGCACATCTGTTTACAAATTGGTTTACTGAATATTTTAAGCACACTATTGAGACCTATTGCTCAAAAGATTTACTTGTCTTTGAGACAGAGTATCACTGTGTTGCCCAGGCCAGAGTACAGTGGTGCAATCTAAACTCACTGCATCCTCTACCTCGCGGGCTCAAGTCATCCTCCCACCTCAGCTTCCCGAGTAACTGGGACTATAGGGTATGCATCACCATGCCAGGCTAATTTTTGTATTTTTTTGTAGAGACAGGGTTTCGCCATGTTCCCCAGGTTGGTCTCAAGCTCCTGGGCTCAAACGATCTGCCTGCCTCAGCCTCCCAAAGTGCTGGGATTACAGGTGTGAGCCACCACGCCCAGACAAAAGATTATTTGCAAATCATTACTGTTCACTGACAATGTACCTAGTTACCCAAGAGCTCTGATGGAGATGTACAAGGAGGTTAATATGTTGTTTTCATGCCTGCTAACACAACATCCATTCTGCAGCCCATGGATCAAGGAGTAATTTCAACTTTCAGTCTTATTATTTAAGAAATGCATTTTTCTTAGGCTATACCTGCCACAGCAAGTGATTCATCTAATGGAATGAAAATCTTCTAGATAGGGATTCACCATTCTAGATTCATGATTCATGGAAAAGGGTCAAAATAGCAACATTAACATAAGTTTGGAACTTATTAACATAAGTTTGGAAGAAGTTGATTCCAATCCTCATGGATGACTTTGAGAGGGTCAAGACTGCCATGGAGGAAGAACCACAGAAGTGCAGCCTGAAGATAGGACTGAATTGCTGCAATATCATGATAAAACTTGAATGGCTGAGGAGTTGCTTCTTATAGATAAGCAAAGAAAGTAGTCTGTTGAGATCAAATCTACTCCTGGTGAAGATGCTATGAACATTGTTGAAATAGCAACAAAGAGTATTACATAAACTTAGTTGATAAATTTAGCAGCAGCAGGGTTTGAGAAGATTGATTCCCTTTTTTAAAGAAGTTCTACAGTGAGTAAAATGTTAGCAAACAGCTGAATGGCACAGAGAAATCTTTTGTGAAAGGAGGAGTCAACCAATGTGGCAAACTTTATTATTGTCTTATTGTAAGAAATTGCCACAGCCACCCCAACCTTCAGCAACCACCACCCTGATCAGTCAGCAGCCACTAAAAGGGAGGCAATACCCTCTACTAGCAAATAGATTACAACTCACTGAAGGTTCAGATGATCACTGGCATTCTTTAGCATAAGATATACTTTAGTTATGTACATTTTTTAGATATAATGCTACTGTACACTTAATAGACTACAGTACAGTGTCAACATAACATATATGCACAACATAACTTATATATGCATAAGTTATATATAACTTGTATATGCATAAGTTATATATAACTTACATATTCATGTGACTCATTTTATTGTCATATTCACTTTGGGATCACAGTGGTCTGGAACCAAATCTACAATATCTCAGAGGTATGCCTGTATCATACAGGCGGTCAACTTCTCTCCATTTTCTCTGCCCACACTTTTATCCAATCCTCCAACATCTCTCGCCTGACTACTGTAATAGCCTCTTAATAGGTATATTTTCTTTCACTATTGGCTCCCTAAAATCCATATGCAGCAAAAGTGATCTCAAACCACACGTGAGACACCACTTCCACTCAACAACTGGCACTAAGAATAAAACTAAAACTCATGACCAAGTCAATTAAGCCCCTAGAAGATCTGGCCCTTGCCTACCTTCCCCCCACCTCTCTTAACGATTCTCTTCCTCATTATACTCCTGGCCTCTTTCCATCCCTTGAACACACTAACTAGGCTTTTTGCTACTTTGAGGTCTTTGCACTTCTATTTGTTCTGCCTAGAAAGGTCCTCTCTGATGACTTTAGATTTCAGTTCAAATCTCAGCTCAGAGAGGCTGCCCGGACCTACATAGCTATCATTCCCTGTCACTCTCTAGCACGGTGCTTCCCAAACTATCTGTGATGAAGGACCCATTGTTTTTCATTGTCAATCTGTCATAAAACTTTTGTAAAAATTCAATAAAAAATTTTCTTTTAAAAATGTAACTTTAAAAACATATAAAATACAAGCCCAAAATTCTCATTATCAGCATTAACAGTCAAAAAATCTATCATATTACCATAAAAGTCTCTTGTTTTCTGTGTTTATACCATTGGGAACCATTGTAATCAGCACACAACTGTCAGCAGATAAGACTGTGACATTGCTCCAGTGTGCCACCAAGCTAATTCCTTTCACAATACTTGCCACACTCTAGAGTCGCTATTCATTTATGTGTTGATCTGTACCAGACACTGTTTTAGGCACTGGAATTGAAGCGATCAACAAAACAGACAAGATCCCTGCACTCACAGGGCTCACGTTCTATGGTGGAGGCCCAGGGAGGATAGGCTATTGGTCAAGCCGACAAGGCAAAGCCAGCTTTAAACTTAGATTTGACTCCACGGTTTTTCCTGAGTTCTGAAAAATCTTCAGCACTTAGCTAAGCAGTGAAGTATGCCAAATGCATCCTAATCAGGGAGGAAGAAATGAAAGCTGGGATACAATTACTGAACAAACTTAAGTTTTTTCAAAGTTGATATCAACAACAACATCCTCCTACAAAACATGCCTGTGGTCACCGCCAGCTGCAGCATATTGGCATGCATCTGATCCAATGTGGTACTTCTGACTCTCATGTACACCACCATTTCTTCCTCAAAACTACTGCACTTTACATTACGTATTCTTTGTATTGTACACCAACCAAATATTTTAATCAAAATAATTACTTCTAAATTGGTACACATTGAGATACCAACTCTGAGGATCCAACAATGTGGAAGAGTTAAACATCTTCAACGAGTGTCTGGAGCCAACAACAATAAATACAGTTACAGCCATTTTACTCATTTTCCACAGCTAAACTGCCCAGATGTGTACCAAGGCTGCCCTGTGTCATTCCACCCTGTGTGCAAGTTCCTTCACCCACATGTCTCAGATGAGCAGTTAAAAGAGCCACCCAAGATGTAATCAATGCCTAAATACTGCCACCCTAGGGCCAAGATAATGTTAAACCTAACAAATCCATAACCCAATTTCCTGAAGCCTCATCAGCTTGTGATTAAAATAAGGTCCCCATTCAGAACACATCAGCCTCGTCTATGTAGTAAGGCTGGGGCTGCACCCTGAGTTTCTAGAATATGCTCACATTCCTTCCACTGTCATTCAATCAACTCATTATCTCCCCCAAAACTCTGCAGATTGTTATTATTCCCATTTTACAAATGAGAAAACTGAGAACCACGCGTTTAGTAATAATTCTCAAAAAATAAGTTAACATATATTTATTAAATTCTTATATTAAATACAATGTTCTTACCAATGAGTCCCAAACTTGGCTAGGCTTCAAGTCACCCAAACTGTAGTGAACAGAGTTGCCAGGTGGTTCTAATGAAGCCAAACTGGCACTAGGAACCAATGAAATTTGCCATGTAAAAACCAAGTGTACAAACAGAAACATAAAGGGAATGTAGGAAAATGAAATCTACTCATTTCCACAGCCTATGCGGACCGCTGCAATGTTTTAATGTACAATGTTAATAGAATACTGTTTGTGTAGCAATTCAAAAATCACTTCAGATGTTTATGTTACTGTAATCAGGGGATATTTTTAAGTATCCCTTAAAATTAGCAAAAATACCAATTAATGAAATCTGGCATAAGTCTACCTACTCAACTTAGCTGATTCCCAAAATAAGGCAAAGGGCACTATTTAAAGATTTCCATTAATACACTTGAATATCTGAATCAACCTGGATGAAAGAGGAATCTATAACAAGCCCCTACAGTTACTTCTGCAGAAACAATGTGTTCGCTAGCCTTTCCATAATAAATTAAACATGCTAAAAGAACTTCATCTCTGTATTTGATGTCCCTTCCAGCTGCCTTCAAGCATTTGCTCTAATACACACTGAAGACCATTGTTTAGGTATATTTATTAATTTAGAGAAAAAAAATCCATTCTGTCAAGCAAGTACTAAAAACCACACAACCACCTACACAGTTTCGCTTAGGAGGATCTGACTAATCAAGGTGAAGAACTGAAATTACTGAGTGGTTATGTACTAATTCTCTCACTGTTGGAGTTTAAAACGGGTGCCTAAAAGAAGTCTGTATTTGGATTTGCCACATTGCACAAATAGTATATATACGTGTACATATATTTCATATTTATAATTATGCATGTGGATAAGCTTTATACTTTCGATAAAAAGTCTACTATTAAACATTAGTGATTCTCTATGTTTAAAAACAATAAATGTAAAAACTTTACCAGATCATTAAAACATCCTAAATGATTCTTGCTCTTTAGTCAATCGTATTTCCTATTTTCCTCTATATTGTGTATATTGTATGAATTTTACAATGACAGAGATATTCTTCATTCATCAGCAAAGTTCACAAAAGAAATGGATGAGTAAGTTGGCTTCAGCTGGTCCTTTCTGCACTGAGGCAGGAAGATGTCTCAGGCTGGTGTGCAGGTAAAGCGTTCCTGTCTCAGGCCAAGGAGTGGCCCCTACCTGTCTTCAGATTCTACTTCACTTCTACCCCACTGGTCTGGGATGAAGTCACAGTGGCCTACAAGACCTGTGGGAAGTACGTTTCCTTCTTTTATCACCAGCAAATGTTCATATTTCTCTCAGTTTGGTTTACCTATGGCACCAACAGTCATGTCACAAGCTTGACTCTCATCCAAGCAGACCTAAACTACTCCTTAGAGAAGTAGTGAGCTCTGAGACAAAATGCAAAATGGAAGAAACACAAAAATGCCTCCTCACAGTGTTCTATTTAGAAAAAATTTACATTGAGAGATACAGTGCTTGCTATGCCTCATTTCACTTAATCCACCATGAGATCCTATCCTATGAGAGTGGTGCCACCATCACTCTGCCTACTTTCCAGAAAAGAACATTAAGGTTTAAATTTGAGAAAGCTTTGCTTAAGATGACACATCAAACGAGTAGAACAGTAAAGACTTAAACCCTAGGCTGTGACTTTTGTCTGCCTTTCTTTTACTGCAACAGACAATAGAAAAATAGCATCCACATTAGGAGAAAATGAAGAAAGGTTTTCACACTGAAATTATTTTATTCAAGGAGACTGTTATTTAAAAAGGGCTTCAATAAAATTTCTAAAGAACAGGAAATTGTGGATTCAAACCACCACTCTCGTTTCAGAATCACTATTCAATTCTTGCCTCTAAAATCCTAGGAAACAATATCCACAAGTAATTTGCCTAGGAAAGGAGAACAGTCAAGCCTTCAGCCTCCTTGCAGAGCATTCAGCTTAGGATGGTAATGATTAGCACACTAACCCAGGTCTGTTAATAACTGACAAGTCAATTCCATACACATGCAGGCTGGTTCTCAATTCAGGCTGACAACCTGCTGCATCACTGGGGGCAACATGCCCACCGAGGAGGGGGACTCAAAGCATCAAGAAGCACACACAGAGGCTCCTGCTCTGGAGACAGCTGGAGTACAAATCCGGTTATTTTACCCAAATGCTCAGAAATGTCTCCTCAGACACAAAGTCCAATTTAGCTGAAATGCATCAATGGCCAAAAAATAATTTTAGCTTTCTTATTCAACACCTTAATTCCAAAACCAAAGGTAATTTAGCACTGCCTATAAAAACAGTATCAGCAACCTTCTTTTAGTCTCCCCAGCTGCCTCATCTGGGATGTCTGAAACTATCATATGCTGGTCACTAATCCATCTCTCCCCTTGAGAGCCAAAGGGAAAAAATGCTATTTTGATATGGACGGGGATTCATTACTGAAGTAGGAAAAAGTAGTTAAGAGGTTTTAATTCGTACTCTTTGCAGCAATGAAGTATGTTCCAGGTAATTTCACTTCTAAAGATTTCAAGTTATTGCTTCATCGACAATGGTTAGGTTCCTCACTAAGTGTCAGGATATCAAGATGACAAGTCTTGATTCTCAAGGAATTTACTGTCCCATCATAATGATAAGCCAATAACTGACTGATTATAACATACAACAGAAGACTGCGAGGCAGGCGAGGGCACATGTTGCAAAGGAGGAACCATGAGGCCTTCTAAGTGCATGAAATTTGAGCTGGGTTATAAGGAATGGTGGGAGAGCCACAGGTGAGGACGTGGAAGAGGCTGCCATACCCAGAAACAACAAGGTGGGCCCTGGAGAAAGATCAGCAGGGTAAGGTAAGAGAACACTCAACAGCCCACTATGGCCAAAGCTTGCCATACATAGAAGAGAGAGAACTGGGGTGACCGTGTCACAAAGCTAGAACACTTGGCTGAAGAGCTGAACTCAGTATCAGAAGGCTGCTCTAAGAAAACAAATTTCATAGTTATATGAACTGGTGGAGAACACTGAATCCAGTAAAACCAATGAGACTGCAAAATACCAAGTGAGGGTTAATAAAAACATGGACAGGAAAGGGACAAGGATAGATAAGAAAAATGAAAGAGACAGAACACACGGTGACTGGTCTGAGGGAAAAAAGGGAGCAGAAAACTGTTCAAAGGCAACTGGTGTTTTGAGTCTGGGTTACAGGGAGGTTAGCCAAGCAAACAACAGAGGTAGGAGTAGGTTGAGAGGAAGGAGACCGTCAGGGGTGCAGATGGGTTGTTTTACCTGTGGTGACTTTCAGATTTAGGGAGAGATTTAGAGATATCAAATGGACAACTGGAGATGCAGGAGAATCTTATATGCGGAGGGTTAATTTTTCAGTCCATAATGGTGATTCCCAAATCCATATGACCATCAGAATCAGCTGGGGAACCTGTCCTCCCCCAAAAGTCCCACCCTAAGAAATCCTAAGTAAATCTGGGATGGGGCCCAGGAATCCTATGATTTAGAAGCCCAGGGTGGGAGCCACTGCCCTCTGTGCTCTGCTCACTCTGCACTTCATAATCTCCTGCCTTCATAGTTCTGAATATACATCCAGAGCATTTTTCTGGGGGAAGGGACATTTGCAGAATGTGAAACTAGTACACTGCTCTGGAGGATTGGAAGCACACTCTCACATTTGAAAATAATTACTTCTCAGTCTGTATTCTACCCGTTCTGGGGAATGGCTTTGATATGCTACTACATAACTGATGGTCTAGGTCGGCAAAGTAACAACTACTACAACACAGAGATCAATTCTGCTCAAACTTAAAGTGACCAAGATAACTCATGACTCCAGGACTACTGGGTTGGTAACAATGTGTAGTAAGAGCGTTTCTGTTTTAATAATGGAGCGCAGTGAGATTATGGGGTAACTCGTGGTATCAAATGTGAACCTTTTATAGACTCCTGGCTCCAAGTCCTTTCACTACTCCCATCTCCTTTTCCACCCCATCAAGGTGAGATCATTAAGCTCAGGAAGGCAGCTCAGCCAACGGAAAACATTCAACCTTCAACTTTTAATAAAGTACAAAATGCTTTTATTTTATATTTTATTTCTGAAAATAACCACATCAGGGAAAAAAGAGCAAATGTGGAATGGGAACCTGACATTGCAAACTATGGGAATTTTATTTTTTAAACGTTTCTAATAAAAGCAAATATAGTTTAGTATGACTAACCCTAACCCCATTTTGATTGCTTGTTTTCTCACTTTTGTTTAAAAAAATAGTAAAAGGAAACCTTTTATGCACTCACTATAATATACTGTGAAATTCACATAAAATTTCTCATTTAATTCTCACAGTTATTCTGCTCTGTAAGTAATCTCATGATCCTCACTTCTACAGATAAAAACACCAAGGCTCAGACAAGTCATGTTTTTGCTCAAGGTCTCACTTCTCATGGGGGAAGAACTAGAATTCCCACCCAGTGTTTCCTGAGGTCAGTGTCCTCTCGGACAGGACCCCAAGAGGCTGCCACAATTTGGGAGAGAATACTTTTTTCTGGATTCCACCAGCGGCCAAGTTACCTCACCCTCCCTGACACAGCACATGTTTTTTTGCAAAAAAGACTGCACTCTCTTGGGGAAGGAAACCAGTGGCACCATCCTCCACTTGGCAGCACCTATCACTGCCTATCACAAAGAAGGTTCTTAACAGTCCTATTGATGGCAGCAGGGGGCTGTCCACGGCAGGGGAGGCGTGGGTGGTGGCGGGAGGCGGCAGCAGGAGCGGCTGCAGGAGCAGCAATGGCAAAGGTGGGTCCCCTGTGCCCCGTGTCCCCAAGGCAGCAAACTGTGCTGCCCCCACCCTCATGTGGCCAGGCAGGACCCGCTCCCAGGCCTGGAACATCAGTGGCTCCGGACCCTAGCCCCACACCACCACTCTCACCCACAACTGCTGCGGGGAGGGCACCAGGAGGAGGCAGCACTGGGGGACCCAGGGCGGGAGGGGGAAATGGGAGCAGTGCCCACTACAGGGACCCAGCCAGTGGTGCGGTCACCACGCCCACTGCACCAAGGGTGCCGTGTTCTTGCGCCCCCAGAGAGGACTCTGCACAGGGCCACCCACAGCCATGTCCCCAGGGGTCCGCCCCGCATGGGGTGACCACCGGGCCTGACACTCCCGACCCGCTATCCGCTCCTGGAGGCACCCCCTGGGGAAGGGCCGCAAGCGGGATGAGGGGGAGCTCTAGGCTGCCCCTGAGTGCGGGGGCCACGGGGGAGCTCACAGTGATGTCCCTGGACACCAGCCCAGGCCCAGCAAGGACCTAGAGCCCCCAGGCTGCAAGGGGGCACAGCTGGGACTTCCCGCTTCATGGAACCGGGAGCCAGGAGCAGGCACCAGCCCTGCCCTCCCAGACACATCTGCAGCCGCCCAGGTGGGGCTGTGGACCCGGGCCTCTCTGCACTCTTGGGGGCCCTGGAAGGCCCCCGCCTTGCCCTTGCAGGCTCGGAGGTGCCTACCTCCACTGTCTGGCCTCTCCCCGCTCCAGGCACCTGCTATGATCTCCGAATGGGGTTGGGGCCAAGCCGGGGAGCTGTCACAGCCCAGCCAGGTATGTGAGGGTCCTGCCACCTCAGCTCCCTCCAGACTCTGTGTGCTGACAAGCATGGGATGTGGAACCTAGGGGGACACTGAGAGCAGCTTGATGCTGGCCTGCAGGTACCCCATGGATGAGCAGCCTGGGTACCACAGACCATGGCAGGAAGCAGACAGGCTCCGGGGTGGAAGGGGGTAGGTCCCTGGTGAGACCCCACCTTCAGGCCAGGGAGGGCATGAAGGCTGGGAGCCAGGCCACCAGTCCCACAGACCACACTGCAGGCTTATGGTGACTTTTCTGGGCCTGCCCATGACCACCCATGGACCAACTGGCACACACTTCCTCCACTCTGAGGCCCATAAAAGCCCCGGGCTCAGCTAGAGCAGGGCAGGGGATGGGGAGAAGATGAGATGACCAGATGCAGAGAGGAGCTACTCTCTCTGCTAAGAGCTGCAGAGACAATGGGACAAGCTGCCTACAGAGAGAAGCCACCCACTCTAGGGCCTCCTCTGTGCCGACAGCTGCAGACTACAGGAGCTACCCTCTCTGCTGACAGCTGAACACTTGTTGGGATGACCAGCTGCAGAGAGGAGCTACCCTCTCTGCTAGGAGCTGAACACTCATCGGGACACCCTGGCTATGGAGAGGAGCTGCCCACTGTGGGTCTTCTCTGAGCTGTTCTATTACTCAATAAAGCTCCTCTTTGCCTTGCTCACCCTCCACTTGTCTGCGTACCTCAGTCTTCCTGGTCACAAGACAAGAACTCAGGACCCACTAAATGGCAAGGCTAAAAGAGCTGTAACACACACAGGGCTGAAACATGCTCCTCACTCATCAAATTGCAGGTGAAGAGGGGAGAACAGCTGTGGTCCTTCAAGGAGCCCTGACCTGGGAGCTCCCCAAGCCAGGGCTGTGACTCCTTCTTTGGGGCCCCATGGTTCCTGGCATCTCCAAGCTTCTGGGAGCCATTGCATTCCTTGGTGCCAGCTGGGGAAGCTGTCTGCAGTGCACCTGGTCCAGCCGCAGCCTCACAGAGAGCCAGTGCCCATGCTGGCACCTAGAGCTGACAGCCCCACAGCAGCAGCCAGCATGTCTGACTGTGCAGTAGCCCAACCCCGCACTCACTCACACACGTCTTGCCAGTCCACGCCTGACTCAGTCTCCCTTGGAGGTGTGGGATCCAGGCCGGTACCATGAGCTAAGTGCAGCCTGCCAGGCCAAGTGGGAGGAACAAGCCCAGCAGGCCCAAACAAAAGTTGGACAAAGACACCACTGGCCACAGCTTTCCAACCAGAAAAATGACACCCCAAAGATCCTGTAACACTATTTCCAGAAAGTGGCAGAGAAATGTGCTAGGGCTTAACCATTGGCTCTGATAGCCCTCATCCCAGGATCCCTAAGGAGGGTTTTGGGAATTTGTGAACGTTTCAGTTGTCACAATCACTGGGGGATGCTACTGGCACTGAGTGGGTGGAAACCAGGAACACTAGAGGTCCTAAGACACCCAGGACAGTCTGCACGGCCAAAGACTTCTGCATTCCTCACAACTTCCTCAAGTCCTGCTGAATATTCACGTGGGTAAAAAACCTGTTTATAATTGTCTGAGCGTAAAACCTCACTCAAGTTATTACATAGGCACAACGTATGTGTTACAAAGTATGTGTTAAACAGGAAGACTACCATTTTATTCCAAATTTAACCAAATTTGACCATTTCAAGAAACAATGACACCAACAGCACACCACCAGTGCTTGCTGAGTCTCCACTGCCATCCACGTGCCACAGTCTGCATCTGCAGCTGCCACAGCAGGGATGCTCCCAAAGTGTGGCCTCTGAGCAGTTCCTCCACACCCTAGGCAGCAGGGTCTCCACATCTGAATACTGAGATGCAAGTTCTCCTGGCAAACAACTTGCTTTTCATTTCCTTTTTCACTGTCATAAAAAGGGTATATGGATTTTTTTAAATAACATGTGTAATTAGGATATGTTATTCACAAATTTCATTTTAGGATTGTAAAGGTGGCAAATACACATGAAATAGCCAGATGGATTCCTGGAATAGTGGAAGCTTAGTGAAAA
Organism: Homo sapiens; assembly: GCF_000001405.40. NCBI lineage: Eukaryota > Metazoa > Chordata > Mammalia > Primates > Hominidae > Homo > Homo sapiens. The sequence goes on from NC_000006.12 coordinate 2,193,716, forward strand.
TGCTATTTTTTTTTTTTTTTTTTTTTTGAGATGGAGTCTCGCTCTGTTGCCAGGCTGGAGTGCAGTGGCGCGATCTCGGCTCACTGCAAGCTCTACCTCCCAGGTTCACGCCATTCTCCTGCCTCAGCCTCCCAAGTAGGTGGAACTACAGGCATCCACCACCACGCCCAGCTAATTTTTTGTATTTTTAGTAGAGATGGGGTTTCACCATGTTAGCCAGGATGGTCTCCATCTCCTGACCTCATGATCCACCCGCTCGGCCTCCCAAAGTGCTGGATTACAGGCGTGAGCCACCGCGTCCAGCCAAAAATGCTATTTTTTTTTAAAAAAAAAGAAGCATTATAAATATGATGTGTCTTTCTCAATTCAGCATGATGTAAGTCAAGTTAGGTAGTTCCCATGCCTCAGGAAATCCTGGCTTAATCTCAGCTCTGTCAGCAGTTTGGACTGTGTGTGTGTGTGAGGGGAGGAAAAGGCATCTATTGATTAAGGTGCTTCTGTATTCTCCATTGAGTTCTTCTTGAGTTCAAGGTTAATTTTTTAAATCACTGTAATCTTTGAATGTTCTTTAAAAGAACATTAAAGCAGAGAGAAATGGCATTATAATATTCACAATACAAAAAATTAAGACTTGTAAAGAAGAGTGAAGAAAGTTGGGGAAAATATGCTTCATGATTCTTAAAGGTCGATTCCTCATGGAATATATTTTAAACATACACACATACATATATAGTTGTTTAAACCCAATAAATAAACATTTCAGCTAAAAGTATTATAACACTAAATTATATCTTTAAGCATTTTTACCAATTTTACTTCCTTACTTTATCAATCATGTTTCACATCTCTAATTTCTTTATCATTATAACAAATTTCAATTTTTATATCAAGATACCAATATAAATAAAAGACAATTAAGGTTAAAAAGTGCTACACGCACACACTTTTTGGTTATTTTATTTCCTAAACATGGAAGAGGGGAAAACACAAACAATTTCTTCCACACGTGTCACACACAGTAAACATTCTTTCAAATCACGTCAGTTTCCTTGACAAAAATTAATACCTTAATAAAGATCCATTGTTTAAAACTCTTGGTTACCACTTGGCTAGCCATGCATAAAACAGGACAATTAGTACAGTCAACTGAACATTATCAAGACTTTCAGACACAGTGACACTGTTCCAGCCAAGCACAGTAGTGATGTTCCGTGAATGCTGCTCTGTCAGCCACAATTACCCCTTAAACAGCCTTTGGAATTATCAGCCTGTACTTTGCTAAAAAGAAAAAGAAAACATTATTTTAAATAATATCAATAAAAATCTTTGTTTCCTTTCTGAGGTAATTATACACACATGAAGTTAGCAAGGGTAAAATCATAGTAATTTTAAAACACATGCTTAAAAGCTTGCATCTTTTCTCCAGTAAAAGCTTTAACCAGACTTAGTATAAAGAAAAAACGGATTTGAATTTCACTGTCTTTTCCTTTTTCTTCTTCTGTAGAAGCGATAGTACTTAATGATTCTGTTCAAAAATTCTGAAGCAAAAAGACCTAGACAAATAGGAAATTAGACGTTACATTTTTGAAGAAGTGTTTTATTTTCCATTATTCCTTAAGGCTATCAGGCCAAAAAAAAAAAAATCTATTCCAAGAACTCTGTGATTCAAATATAAAAAGTATGAGAACCAAAACTGAGATGCTATGCCTTGGTCTGCTGAGAACTGTGATAATTTTCTTGAACTTTGCTGCATATATATTCTAAAGTAAAGCAAATACTTTGACATTTTATTCTTTTTATCCTAATGTAAGTGGAAAGCTACAAAGCAACTTCCTTTTCAGGGGATAAAGTAAGTTTTTAAAAGCCTTCTTTGGAAATAATTAAGTCCATAAAAATTACATGTTGATTTCTTAGGTATTATGTGTCCTTCTTTTTTTCTAAAGAATGAAGGTATAAAATAAGACAATGTAAACCATGGCAACAAGGTTGGGTATGGCAGCTCATGCCTATAACCCCAGCTCTTTGGGAGGCCAAACCAGAAGGCTGGCTTGATACCAGGAGTTTGAAACCACCCTGGGCAACATAAGAAAGACCTTGTCTCTACCAAAAAAAAAAAAAAAGTTAATAAAAATAAATATATAAATAATAAATCATGCTGACAGTTTAAATTTCAACAGTGAAGTTAAACATCTATCTATTAATTTCATTTGCAACTGTGGAGAGTATATGCCAAAATAAATATATACATATATAAGTAAATAATCATAACATCCCAAGATGACAATTGGGGACTGATTTCAGCCAAAACACAAATAATGTCTAAGTTTTTATTTTATTAAGCAAAACATAAGTTTGTGCCCAAAAACTTACAAACATTAGTAACAGTTCAAAACAGTCAATCTTCTACTTTAGCATTCTAAGATTGTGTAAAAAACTAGATAAATTATTACAATGGTTTATATTAAATGGTCTCCCTGAAGTACAAAGCAACTGCAAAACTATAATTATCAAGGACTAAAACACGCAGATGCTATATACTTGAGCCACCTGGTGGTTTATTTCCCTCACTGCACTGATAAACACCTAGTGCTATGCACACAACCTTAATTAGACTCTACAAGTTTTACTTTTGGTGCCAAGACCAGAAAGAGTTTACTTTTACCAAAATGTAGTAATAGTGTGGGTCACAAGGCACAAGTCTACTTGGAAGCACTTAAAAAGTTCACTGTTGCTAAGTACAGAAGGCACTCCTGAAATCTACCATAGCAGGTCTCTAGAACTGTTTTCTTATGTTTTTTTCTACAGTGTTTGATGCCTACAGTAAACATAGAATCCAAAACAAATTCAAATAAACTGCAGATCATGCCTCAGGTTTGCTTGTGGTTTCTTTACCTCTTGCCTAGTTCTGGACAGTTCAGGACAGACCACATTAACTTTTAAAGGTTGCTGTCTTAACTGTCAAGCAAGGTAGTAATAGGTGCTCAGAGATGTTGGTTAAAAAACACAGGAAAAAAAGTTAAACAAAAGTACACTCTGTTACCAAGAGGAAAGCTGCAGAACACCAATCTTTGTGACTCTGACTTCAAATTAGGGACTCTTGGGGTGATCAAGATTTTTATCAAAGCAGAATGTGTCCAAAGCATACCTTTATCTTCAAGCTTACTAGCCTAACAGCTGGAGTGCATTAGACAGGAGCCATGACAATTCTAATGATAATGGTGGTGATGACTTGATTCTAAACGGATACTTGTCAAAAAGCCAGTGAAAATTTAAGCCTTTTAACTAGTAAAAGGGTTGCAAGTTAAACCTCTGTGTCCAGCAGCAGTCCCACACCCTTCCTAGGAGAAGCAACTTCCTCAATTTAAGTTTCAATAATGTCTTATGTGAAGAACGAATAAAGTCAGTATTAAATAATGTCATTAGCAAACTGACACATCCATTATGATAACTGTTCCCATTACTGGCTTTAGTAGGAGGTGATGCCAGAGGCTCTCCCGCACCATAAGGCAAAGCGCTTCATGTCCCTGACTCATCCAAGCGACTCAAGGCCGCCCAGCTCTCCAAGTGGAAACACTGAGTGGGAAGGAGGCTCTCAAAGGATGCCTCTATTCCTCCTCCCGCCCAGGTTCTTGGTGGAGGGTAGATGCTATTAAAAGACTAGTTTCCTGAGGAAGGTAGATAGTTTCAGGGAAAGACCATTTGGCTGGAAGGAGGAGGCTTTGTTGCCAGCTGTTTCTCCAGCTCCACTGCCTGTGTGGTCCCAAGTAAGTTGCTAAACCTGACCACGTCAAGGGCCAGGTCTATAAAAATGATGACATTTCCCGTAAAAGGGCCTGCCTGGCCCTGCACCATTTGCCTTCACAAGGGAGCACTGCACTAGAGAAGCTCTGGCTTTGCTGTGAACAAATCAAAAAGTGACACATGGGCTTGGCATTTTCCTCCATGCAAATCAAAGTATCCCATTTCCCTGAAACACTTTAACAGGATAATATGGCTTTAATTTTCCACACTTCCTAATTCTGGGTGCTAACAGGACACAGCCGCCTTGTGAGAGAAACAATGGCACAAGTAGGGATGGCAAAGGAAGACACCCCTCTCATGGAAGCCACGTTCTCACAGAGGAGCCCATTCTGCAGGGCTAAAAGGCAGATTTTACTTTCTGTCATTCATTTCCTCAAGCTGTTATTGAGAAACAACACAGGTACCAGTGGAGGATGCGTGCATTAGAGTCAGAAAGCCAGGTCTCCCCAAATCCCATCTCTATCATTTACCATCGGGGAGACACTGTACAAAGTAACTTCTCTGATCATTCCTATCCCCATCTATAAAATGGAAATGATGCACATCGTGCCACAGGCTTACTGTGAACGAATGATGGGAAAGTGTGTGAAATTTACTAAAATAAGCAGCCACTGGAAGGGAGCCTGAGACCAGGACCAGCCAATGAGAAAAGTAACGAAGAATGCAGAACTTGCAGCAGGAGCTAAAGGGTAATTTCCTGGCCATGATGACAAATCTGGCTATGTATACACAGATGCATATGCCTGTACACATTATACAGATACATGTAATTCCTGAAGAAGGGGCTGCCTGTCAACAGGCATATCCTCACTTCCTGCCTCAAAATAGGAAAAAAATATTTGTTAGGAAATGAAATACATCCAAAATATTTGAGAAAGGGTTTGAGGAACATCCCATAAACCAATGTACCTTGTGTCCCCTTCAATTCTGTTTTTCTTTTCTAAAATGTCAAAGTATGCTAAGACTCTTCAATGACCAAAAGGTCCAAGTTTATATGAGTTTTTAATCATGTTCCAGAGATCACTGGATAAGAAACAAATAAACAAAAAAAAAAAAACAAGAGAATTAAGCAATAAAGAAAAGTAATGCTGCAGAGAAGAAATGAATAAGAAAAATTTCATTTTACTGCTACGAGGTATTTTACAAAATCAGAAAATTATGTTTGCCTGTGCGAAACTGGAAAATATTAGAACTGCTGAAACTTCTATACCACATCAGACTTCTCAACAAGTTCAAGAAAAACTAAGCATTTTGAAATGCATGGTGTCTGGAATAGAAAGGGTAGCAATTGTGGATCCTAAACCAGAAGAATTATACTAGTCTATCTACAGAGGTGTCTCTAGCCTAGCTCTAAGACCACAATTGGTTAGAATGAGAACAGGTAGAAAACAGACCATTCATAAAGTCAATAATTCAGGCTTGGTAATGGCTTACAGCTTTGCTTATGATGTCCTTATATCAAGTGTTTGCCATTGCTAACCTAAAGAGAACATACAACTATCTTTATACATAAAGCTGAATCTCTAATCATCTACCCATTTTCCTATCCTAAAATATTTCAAAATGTAATTCCCTAATTCATATTAAAAACTTCATATTCAACATTATTCATTTCTTATTGGACATAATGGTATAAATATTTAGACTAATTTACCTTTTGTTTTTAACTTCATGTCCACAATACATGGTGGTGTTTACTCATTAATCAAGATTTTCCTAAACTCCATTTAATGAAAATATTTAGTTTTATGGATGGCAACAAAGTATTATACTCAAATATCTCTGTTGGACCTTAACAGGAACCCAAAATAAATTAATTCTCTGACACAACAACTCACAGGCAGCCAGAAATCTTTATAAAATACAAATCAAATGTCATTCCATTGGCTTCCCATTTCTAATGGAATAAAATATAAACCTGATACAATGGCCTACACAATCCATTTACTTTCTGCCTTCAAATGCCTCCACTCTCTGTCCTCGCTGCTCTCCCCACTCACTGCTCCCTCCCCTAAATGTACTGCCACTTTCTCTGTGTTCTAGAATACAGCCTACTCAGGACCTTGGCGCCATCTTTTCCACTGCCTGAAACCCTTCCTCCTCTCCATTTTCAGCTCCTCTGAAGGCCTTCTTACCAACAACTTAATGCAATGCCCCAAGCTCATTTCAATCTCTATTCCTAAGATGATTTTCATGGCTTTTTATCATTTGTTGAAATTATTAGTATCTTCCTTTATTTCAGTCTTCTTCATTCAAGTATCAACTTAAAAGCAGAACACTTGTCTGCTTGTTAACCACTTTTCAGCAGTACCTAGAAATAGTACCAGGTACAGAGCAGATACAGGAATATTTATCAAAAATAAATAAATGAGTGAGAAGTCTAAGAATTAAGGATTTCTAAAAGATAAAGCCTACAAACCTAAGCTATATATGGTAAATGCTATTCCATACCATAGCAAATTAGAAACATTACAGGATTGTATGTTATACATATGAACACTGTGATCTGGAAATCTCTGCCTTGTACAAATAGCTCTAGAATATATTCATTCATTTATTAAACAAATATTTATTGCACATCCACTGTGTCAGATATTATTCTAGGCAGCAGAGACTCCAGCAGTAAACAGAACACTCTACACTGAGGAAGTTTATTCTGTAGACAAGGGACACAGACGAGAAACAAATACATGTGCCAGGTGATGAAAAGTGCTATAGGAAAAAACACAGCAGTGTAAGAGAGTGGAAGGGATGGGAGCCTCAGTAGAAGATGACATGTTAGCAGAGAGGCGAAGGATGAAGACAGAACACCACATGCACATCCGAGATGAAACAATCTAGGCAGTGAGGGCAGCATGTTAGCAGAGAGGTGAAGGATGAAGACAGAACACCACATGGACATCCGAGATGTAACCATCCAGGCAGTGAGGGCAGCATGTTAGCAGAGAGGTGAAGGATGAAGAGAGAGCACCACATGGACATCCGAGATGTAACCAACTAGGCAGTGAGGGCATCATGTTAGCAGAGAGGTGAAGGATGAAGAGAGAGCACCACATGGACATCCGAGATGTAACCATCTAGGCAGTGAGGGCAGCATGTTAGCAGAGAGGCGAAGGATGAAGACAGAACACCACATGCACATCCGAGATGAAACCATCTAGGCAGTGAGGGCAGCATGTTAGCAGAGAGGTGAAGGATGAAGAGAGAGCACCACATGGACATCCGAGATGTAACCATCTAGGCAGTGAGGGCAGCATGTTAGCAGAGAGGTGAAGGATGAAGACAGAGCACCAAATGGGCATCCGAGATGTAACCATCTAGGCAGTGAGGGCAGCATGTTAGCAGAGAGGTGAAGGATGAAGAGAGAGCACCAAATGGGCATCCGAAATGTAACCATCTAGGCAGTGAGGGCAGCATGTTAGCAGAGAGATGAAGGATGAAGACAGAGCACCACATGGGCATCCGAGATGAACCAATCTAGGCAGTGAGGGCAGCATGTTAGCAGAGACGTGAAGGATGAAGACAGAGCACCACATGGGCATCCGAGATGAAACCATCTAGGCAGTGAGGGCAGCATGTTAGCAGAGGGGTGAAAGATGAAGAGAGAGCACCACATGAGCATCCGAGATGAAACCATCTAGGCAGTGAGGGCAGCATGTTAGCAGAGAGGTGAGGGATGAAGAGAGAGCACCACATGGACATCCGAGATGTAACAACCATCTAGGCAGTGAGGGCAGCATGTTAGCAGAGAGGTGAAGGATGAAGACAGAACACCACATGCGCATCCGAGATGAAACCATCTAGGCAGTGAGGGCAGCATGTTAGCAGAGAGGTGAAGGATGAAGAGAGAGCACCACATGCACATCTGAGATGAAACCATCTAGGCAGTGAGGGCAGCATGTTAGCAGAGAGGTGAAGGATGAAGAGAGAGCACCACATGCACATCTGAGATGAAACCATCTAGGCAGTGAGGGCAGCATGTTAGCAGAGAGGTGAAGGATGAAGAGAGAGCACCACATGGGCATCCGAGATGAAACCATCTAGGCAGTGAGGGCAGCATGTTAGCAGAGAGGTGAAGGATGAAGACAGAACACCACATGGACATCCGAGATGAAACCATCTAGGCAGTGAGGGCAGCATGTTAGCAGAGAGGTGAAGGATGAAGAGAGAGCACCACATGGGCATCCGAGATGAAACCATCTAGGCAGTGAGGGCAGCATGTTAGCAGAGAGGTGAAGGATGAAGACAGAGCACCACATGGGCATCCGAGATGTAACCATCTAGGCAGTGAGGACAGCATGTTAGCAGAGAGGCGAAGGATGAAGAGAGAGCACCACATGGGCATCCGAGATGAAACCATCTAGGCAGTGAGGGCAGCATGTTAGCAGGGAGGTGAAGGATGAAGAGAGAGCACCACATGGACATCCGAGATGAAACCATCTAGGCAGTGAGGGCAGCATGTTAGCAGAGAGGTGAAGGATGAAGAGAGAGCACCACATGGGCATCCGAGATGAAACCATCTAGGCAGTGAGGGCAGCGCGTTAGCAGAGAGGTGAAGGATGAAGAGAGAGCACCACATGCACATCCGAGATGTAACCATCTAGGCAGTGAGGGCAGCATGTTAGCAGAGAGGTGAAGGATGAAGAGAGAGCACCACATGGACATCCGAGATGTAACCATCTAGGCAGTGAGGGCAGCATGTTAGCAGAGAGGTGAAGGATGAAGAGAGAGCACCACATGGACATCCGAGATGAAACCATCTAGGCAGTGAGGGCAGCATGTTAGCAGAGAGGCGAAGGATGAAGACAGAACACCACATGCACATCCGAGATGAAACCATCTAGGCAGTGAGGGCAGCATGTCCTCACTGCACAGTCGAGTAAGCACAGTCGAGTAAGACTGCTGCCAATTTCTTTCTATTTTTTTTTTTTTTTACAGATACAATCTTCTCTGACATTGATATGCTTACATGTCTGGTTTCAACTCAAATGCTTATTTGACAACCTCTTAATTCTCTCCGTGCCTCAGTTGCAGAGGAGGGGACAGGCTGATGGAAGAGAATGGAGTTAATTGATGGAAACTGAGTAAGGTGGGAACAGTCACGGTAGCTCATAGGCTCAGAGACTGGCCTCGTGGCCTATGTCCTGGCAAGGGAAGGGAGCTACTGCATGAAAGAGCTATTGAATCTGACATGATGCCACGTCTGTTGTGGTTTACCTGGATAGAATGGGCTGTTTCTGCCTTGAAATGCCTCCTGCTGCAATAAAGATAAGCTATGACCCTGGTTCTGGACCACAGTGGAGAGAGGGGATGGAGCAGAGACGGAAACAAAGAAGGTTCCAGATTGTGAGCTTGGTCCTAAAGAAGCAGTCATGGCATCTTACACTTGACAGGGTCTGCAGAAAGTCACCCTGAATCAAGCAATAAAGGCGCCTGGGTCTGGGCTGTGCACCCCCTTTGGCCAGAAGTATCCTGCCACATTTTCATTTGCAAGGTTTCTAAGAACCGTTCTTGGTGTGTCTTGAATGGCTCATACTTGTTAACTTTACAGGAATGTGTGTTCATAGGAAGCCTGTTAATCAAATTGCCAACATAAATTACTTTTCCTCATTTTTGAAGGCTTGTCCAATTAATAAAAGGCCGATGCTTATGTACTGGAGTTACTTTAGGCCACTGGGGGGTTGGGGGGTAGTTAACGTTTATTGATTCAATGTAGTTTTTCCTGTCACTTTGAGGACATTTATTCAATTTTGAAATGAAAAATGATGGTAAAATTGGAAAAAAAATATGTAAGAAACTTATGAAAAACAATTCTCCAATTTAAAAATAATACGGCCTTCCCTGTCGGGCTTTGCTGCCAGCTGTTATTTAAACTTGTATGCTCCTGCCTAGTGAGAGTCAGCAGCTGAGAGTCTTGTATTAGCAGGAAACCAGGGCATTTATGATGGAGTTCCTGTTATTGACTTATTCTTAGACAAAATGCCAAGTTTCTTTGGACAGTACAGTAGGCCCACTGTGGAAGCACAGTGTGAATACTGGTGTGACATTTAGGCTATGATTTTTTTTTTATGTGTCCAGATTTTTTAAATAACTTTTAAAACAATGTTTTCTGTAATGATTTGGAGACAGTGGTTAACACTACGAAAAAAAAATGTGTTTTTAAAATAGAATCTAACTGGTATACCAAAGAAATATAAGTAGTTTACGCTGATTCCAATAACTCTACCAGGTTTTCTTCACAGGTGGGTACATTTTAGTAGAAAACCTTGCTGTAGGCTGGGAGGAAGGCAGGTGAAACATCATCGCAATAGCACAGGGAATGAAAACTGTAAATGATCACACGATTTCACATGGAAAAAGGCATTTTGTAAGACTAAAGATTATTGTAGACCAACATACATCAGCATTTAACGTTTTCCTTAATTGAGGGTGGGAGGGTGTGATTTCCCTTGAAGCTAAGCAGAGGTATCTCTGGAAAACCTGACTTTACAAATTTTCTTAATTTGGGTGACTAACATTCTTAAGGAAACTTATTTCAGGAAACTACAAAACTAGCATCCTAGTTGTCTTTATTTTGATAGGGTTAGGGATAGGGTTAAGATTCACACCATTTTCTCTACATGCCAAGTATACATCATCAATCACCACAGCTGTGGGCTGGTCTGTGATCGGGTCATTTTCCCGGCCCTCTTTATGTTTGCCTTTCCACAGGTAGAGTTAATTTTTTTACCAAGAAGTGCTCCTGCCCACTTTGTCATCTCCCTTCTTCCCCCAAATCTTGTCCAATGCTCTCTCATCCCTCTACTACTGTAATGCAACAATTAAATAGCAATGATTCCATTTACTATCTTCCTGCATACATCCCTTATGTGTAAAGGATACCCTTTCACTCATTCAACTAATATTTACCAAATATTGCTCATGTGCCAAATGCTGCTTTAGGCATGTAGGGACAGTGTTATGATACGAAGTCCCTGCATTTACAAGCTCACCTTCCAGAGCTGTGCTATTCAATACAGTAGCTACTAACCACAAGTGGCTACTTAAATCAATTAAAATGAAATAAAATTAGAAATTCAGTTGTGCAATTGCATCAGTCATATTTCAAGTGCTCAATAACTACACGTGGCTAGAGGCTGTTATTTCAGATGGTGCAGAACGGAGCATTCCCATCATTGCAGAAAATTTTATTGGCCAGCACTTCCCTAGTGGACAGGTTACCTTTATCACTGATGGTTTTGACCAGTTTACAAGACCAAGGATCATCATATAATGTCCCTTTCGCCTACTGGTAAAAGGTGGCAAACTATTTAGCTCCACAACTTGACCACAGCACTCTTTTTTAAGCCCATGCTTGTGTTAGGGGCCATTTTTCTGTTATCTCCTACATAATTACCATAATGCTAAAATTTATGAATACCATTTGTTTCTGTAACAAAAGTCAATCTATACTATGTGTGGTTTGATGAAGAACTTTTTCTAATATTGAATTTTTTTTACGTCTAAAGTTTTACAAAGAAAAATAATTATGACATTTATTGAGCATTTGCTGTCGCTGGATATTGTCCTAAACCCTTTAACAGAGTTTTTCTCACTTAATTCTCTCAGCAATCCCAAAGGTGGATGTTAATAACACCATTTTACAAATGAAAATTTTGAAGATACAGCATAACTTGGTTAAAGCCAAGTTATCAGTGGATAGTTGCAAAGCTGAAGCAATCAACCCAGAGCTGTATGTTCTTTGCTTTTAAATGCTACTATTCCCCATCCTCTACCTAAGTTCACCATTAGTTGCATATAAAACTCCCCCATTGAAAAGTTCATCTCCTTAAGTTCAATCCTGTAGCAAATCCCACACATCCTGCCGCCTTCTTACCATGTCCTCTAATCCAAAGCACACTGTCCTTGTGTCCAGACTATTCTAACAGCCTCCTAACTGGTCTCCCTTCTTCCAGCGTGGCCCTCTGGAGTAGCTTCTATAAAGCTGCCAGAATGAGGATTACATCACAAATCAGATCCTAATTCTTTTCTATTTAATAGCTCCCATTTGTTTCCGATTCCAATTAGAATGACATCCAAATGCCTACATTCTTACAAGTCCTGCACAATGCAGCCCTTGCGATATGCAGAGATGTTACCAAAGAAGTTCTTATGCTGGAGCCACTGCATCTCTGCTTCCATCTCTTCCATCTACCCCCACAGATTGCTACAAGTTGGACTCTTTTTCACTCTTCAGTCCAAGCCTTCAGGGTGTGTGTGTGGGGGGGGAGGGGGGTGTTGTAGGCTTTTGTGTGTAAGTGTGACAGAGAGGTTTTTGATAATGATATCAATTTCTTTAATAGATATGCTACCACACGTGTGTTCTGTTTCATGATAAGTCAGTTTAGGCTGGTTGTCCTTTTTCAAGCAACTTGTCCATTTTTCACTGTAACAGTTTGGTGGCAGTATAAAAGCACAGACGGCTGGGTGCAGTGGCTCACACCTGTAATCTCAGCGCTTTGGGAGGCCAAGGCGGGCAGATCACCCAAGGTCAGGAGTTCGAGACCAGCCTGACCAACATGGAGAAATCATGTCTCTACTAAAAATACAAAATTAGCCGGGCGTGGTGGCACATGCCTGTAATCCCAGCTACTCAGGAGGCTGAGGCAGGAGAATCGCTTGAACCCGGGAGGCAGAGGTTGTGGTGAGCCAAGATCACACCATTGCACTCCAACCTGGGCAACAAGAGCAAAACTCCATCTCAAGAAAAAAAAAAGCCCGGACATCCAACTCTGAAATGAGTTTTCCCATTCAAGCAAAGTGTTGTTATCTTTAATATCGGATGCTTCTGGGTTCTCAACCCAAGTGGAGTGTGGTCAGACTCCAGGGGTGCCTCTGGGAGGCTCTAGGAGGCACTGAAGACCTATGCCCACTCCTTCATAGGTCTACTTGTCTCTTGCATGAATTCATGCATCTTTTGATGTATTCATTTGTCCATTCAGTAGTAAATAAGAGGAAACAAGTTGAACAGAGTCCAAGTGGTTATTTTCATCAACTTTGTCAAACTCAACCATCACTGTCACCTGACCAACCTCATATTCATATACCACTTTGAGTATCAAGATGCAGAAGACCATATAGCAGTGGTTCTTAAACTTTAGGCTGCATCCAAGTCACTCATTCAGACTGCTGGGCCCCACCCCTCAGAGCTCTGGCTTGGTAGGTCAAAATGTGGGCCTAAGATTCCAAACAAATTCCCAGATTGATGCCGGTATTGCTGATCTGAGGAAACACTATGGGAACCACTGCTTTAAAGTATTTCCAGGTATATTTGTTTAGGAACAGTACAGATGATATTCCTTAGTCTGAGGATGTCCTTACCTGTTATCTGAAATTACTCCAGCAGTCCATCAGAGCCATGAAGGGAGAATAAGCACAGGGGTGAACTACTGAAAACCACACTCCCAGAAGTCTTAGTGGTGGTATTCACAGCCATGCCATGAGGTCAGAGAAAACATAAGTTTTACTTATAAGGTCATGAAAACATAAGCTTTACTCTATTAGGATTAGGTGAAGCTGCACATAAGTTAGAATCCAACACACATCATGTAAAAGAAGTCTGATGGTAGCCAGTCAAGAACTGCTGATTACGGGGTCAACAATAATCAATGACCTAGGTAGCCTCCTTCTATATCTGGCTTCTACCCTCAAGTTTATGTCACCAATGAAAACTGCTGCTGGAGCTCCAGACATCACATCCATGTACCAAGAAACAGAAAAGCAGAAGGTAAAGGCACAGGGGACATGTCTCCCAACTCTCAACTTCCTTTAAGCAGGCTTTCCAGAAGTTCCACAAAGCACTGTCACTTATGTTCATTGGCCAGAATTGAATCACAGTCACATTTACTGCTAAGGAAGCTGGAAAATGTCATCATTTAATTAAGCTCAGTGTTCACCCCAAATAATATAGGGATTGTATTTTTAAGGAGGAAGTGAAGACTAACTGGTTGTCCATGCCACAATGACAACAAACTACTGAGCTTATAACATTAGAGTTTAGAATTGTAATCAAACTTACAAAATCTGTATTGGATTCAAATTGCCCATTAACTTGTCTGCATTGTTCCTAGGACGGTTTTGTTCCTAGCACCTAGCAGATGCTCAGTAAATATTTGTTGAAGGAATGAATACTACCCCTAAGAGCAATTCGCCTATTGTTACGTAAAAATAAAAGTGATTCTCATTTTAGATCACCCCTTCCCCTCTGGAAATTACAGTCCTGCCCATTTGAAGTTTCTGCAGGGAAGACTGTAAGGTTAACATGGCCACAGGCAATTTTCTTAATAACTAAGGGACACAGTAAATTCCTCTCAACAGGAAAATATTGAGAAGATTTCTCTAAAACAGGATCTTGAGAACCAAGAAATTAAGCATATATATGTTTGCCAAGTTAGTAGCTTTTTCCAGGCATATGAAAAACCCAGTCAGGAAAGATGAGGTGGAAAAGGCAGACAGGTATTCCCTTCCCAGATTAGAAAAGTTTTACTTATAAGGTCATGAAAACATAAGCTTTACTCTGTTAGGATTAGGTGAAGCTGTGCATAAGTTAGAACCCAACACACATCATGTAAGAGAAGTCTGATGGTAGCCAGTCAAGAACTGCTGATTACGGGGTCAACGATAATCAATGACCTAGGTAGCCTCCTTCTATATCTGGCTTCTACCCTCAAGTTTACGCCATCACCCAAAACTGCTGCTGGAGCAGTTTAGATTAGAAAAGATTTATCCATCATTTTCAGGAGACTTGTTCTGTTACCAGCTGCATCACAGCTGAACAGTGCAGTTAGCTTATCTACATTCAATATTCCGTTTTACAGATGACACAATTGTCACAAAGAAAGGCTAAGCAACTCACCTAAGGATAAATATCAAATCATAGCAAAGCTAAAAACAGAAGCTACTATTTCTGATCGCCAGTCCATACTTTTTACAGTCACAGGAAAATTGTAGAGTATTATATACAAGCTGTACAGACAATTTTCCCACAGCTTGCAGGGCCACAAAGAGGTGGTACTGATGGAGGCCCACATATGTTAGATGCTTCTAAGAAACTGTCTGCATAATTATTCAAAACACTTTCCCATAGATTTATGGCAGCCCAAACTGTGGAAGAGCTCAATGTAGCTGAAATACCCGAAGGAAAGTAAAAGCACTTTAGAAAATAGCTTGCCCAAGATGTGGTAATTTGAGAAGCCATAATTTTAGAAAGAGCATGTTTTACTATTTTCTTCAAGTTAAACACATTTTGCTAAACGATTATCACTAACTGAATTCTAAGGCCGGTACAGTGGGCTACATTAAAAAAAAAAAAAAAACTATTAGGCAATCTAATGTTCTCATCAGTAGCACAGGTAACAACTACGTGTCTGACCCAAGCTGTCCTGTCCAAGCATAAGAGCAAGAATATTACCAAACTTAATTCTCAAGCTCAGTTTTAGAAACCTCTTCCATCACTTCAAGAAAACTGTTTTGGATCCCCACCTCCTTCATGTTAACAGCACATGGTTAAGTGTTCAGCAGGGCATTGCAAAATAAAAAAAGAAATCAAGATTTATTAGATAAGCCCATGACTCCATAATCAGACTTCTTATAACATCTTTTGAGATTACTTCCTAACTATTCTGGTGTTAAAATATCCTTTATTTTAAATGATGGGAACCCAAAATACACTTGGTTGAAAAAATAAGAGCACTGGTTGCCCCACAGTGAACCTGAAATTAGTACATACTGTGGGGGTAGAGGCTACTAGTTAAGGAAATAAAAAAGTCTGGGCCACTGAACACAATGTACTCTGCAGATCTGATGTTTTAAGCAGCCTCAGCTCAATGGCAAATGCCAGAACTGGCTGACTAGCTCACCTTCCCCCTGCAGGGGGAGTAGTCCCGCACAATAGGCAGGTGTTAGCCAAGATGCCTTGACCACAGTGGGTACTCACACACCTGCTGTCAGTTTTCAAGTGCCAAGTCAAACCTTGCATGTAATGTATCTCTAATACACATACATACACATACACATACACACACACACACACACACACACACACACACACGTTCTCTCTCTCTCTCTCTCTCTGGACTGAATTCTAGAAAACTTCTGCTTATTTTACCTATGTTTAGCATTATCAAACGTGCATTTATAAAACCTCTAGAAGCCAGTAAGTGGCCCTAAAAAAGGACACGTAAGAAAAAATAATTTTAAAATTGGGAGGAAAATCTATCTTCGGGGTTCTAATACGATTTACCACAATGTTTAATGCTAGGCTTAAGACAGATTCTTAAGCTGTTTCAGATAAACCAAGAGGCTAACAGAGCCCAGCTCACACTACCATGGCTGCCAGGCACAGGAAGATAGAACACACACTCCTTACCCAAAGGACCCAAAACCTAGCGTGAAATGATCCGTAAACAAGACAGCCTTAACATATAGAAAGGTGATATATTCTGTTGTATGTAATTAGTGAAAAAGATAATCACTATTCTACACTAGAGAAAACAAAGCTTCATATAAATAAATTTTCTAGCTACTGAAAGTAACCAATTTAGCTCCTGAGTGCCTTTATTATAATCAACAAATTTGTACAGAATATTTCAAAAATCTATTTCCTACTTTCCACAGATTGCATTTTAAGGATGCAAGCTCTGAAACCAGAGTGCCCAGTTAGCATCCCAGGTCCACCACACAAGGCAGGCCAAGTTCATCTCCATAAGCCTCAGTTTCTGCACCTACCTTAGCACACTGTTAAAAGGATTAAATGGCATAATGCACATAAAATACTTAGAACACTTAGCCTGGCAAATAGTAAGTGCTCAATATATTTTACCTATTATTAAGAAAACCTGTAGTGGTCAGGGTTTGTTAACTACCAAGTTATCTAACAAAATCCCCAATGTGCTTACCCATCCTTTCCTGGTGTAACGCAGCCCCAGGAGTGCCTCGAGAATGGACGGGCTAAGACATGAGTATGGGGTTCATTTCAGACCAATGAGACAGGAAAGGAAATCAGCTAGGGGCTTCCAGGAAAGGTCTGCTTACTCCCAAGGTGGGAAAGGAAATCAGCTAGGGGCTCCCAGGAAAGGTCTGCTTACTCCCAAGGTGGGGTAAGAGACAGACAGAGGTGGGCCATGGGCAGTGGTGTCTCCTCCTGAACCCGCATCTCTGGGCACGGCACCTGGAGGGTCTACACCCACCCTCTGCCCTATCACACCACATGTAGTTCATCCCTTTCACGGCACTTAGTGACTAACATGGTTTGGCTCTGTGTCCCCATCCAAATCTCATGTTGAATTGTAATTCCCAGCACTGAGGGAGGGACCTGGTGGGAGATAATTGGATCATGGGGGCGGATGTCCCCCTTTCTGTTCTCGTGATAATGAGTTATCATGAGATCTGATGGTTTAAAAGTGTGTGGCACTTCTCCCTTCACTGTTTCTTCTGATGCCATGTGAAGATGTGCTTGCTTCTCCTTCGCCCTTCCACCATGATTGCAAGTTTCCTGCAGCCTCCCAGGCATACTCCCTGTACAGCCTGCATAACTGTGAGTCAATTAAACCTCTTTTTCTTCATAAATTACCCAGTCTCAGGTAGCTCTTTATAGCAGTGTGAGAACGGACTAACACAGTGATTACCCAAAACAGCTCTGGTTTGTTTACTTCTGTCTTTCCTCTGCCACCACACTAGAAGAGTAAGAGGAATGTTTTTTGGGGATGTGCATTACTAACGCCCCTTACACACGTACTTGACGTCTGGGGCCATGTCTACCACGTTCATTCCCACCTGAACATAGTGGGTGTTCAGCAAATACCTGCTGAAGAAGTAATAAAATAATCTCAAGTATCTATTTGTTTTCCAAATGACATCTGCTTATTTTTAATGTGTATAACACTTTCAATTACTTTCTCCTACAATTCTCTAATTTGCATGTTAAACTTTAGATAAGACTAATTAATAGTAACATCTGCCCTATATGTTTTTTTAAAAAATAGACCCTACATCAAAAGATGTTCAAAATAAACCAAAAGGATGCTCAAATAGGTCTATTTGAAATGCTCAAATAGTCTCACTCCTCTTTGTAGCAAGATCTTCCCCACCAAAAATAACTAGAAAAAATTTTTTAACTCCCAAAGAACACGTAAGGCAGGAAAAAATACGTATTTCATGTTAGTAGTTTTTAAATAATCTATGCCGTAGGGTCAGAAAACAGACATTAGTGAGAATGAGCCCAGAATTCTAAATTCCCATGAAATATTTATTCAATTTGAAAACAATGTTACCAAGTTTACGACTTCCAGTCTTTTAGGTGAGCCAAAGTAGGAACTAGGTACTCTTGTAAGACATTATACATAAAAGCCTTCCAAAAATATGACTTTCCTATCCCTTTTCACAGTTTCGTCACCTAAAATTTAACTAAACCTTCAACAATTGGTAATAATTTAACCCATCTCTTTTTAATTACAGTTCATTCAAGTAAGTAAATATAGTATAACTGTGCAGGGAATTTTAATGTCATAGTACCTATTTGTTTTTAATTTAGAACCTGTGTTACATTTCTCTGTAATTCAATTGATTAAGAAGCCAAGTAGATGTGATATTTTGTGATATGATAAAGAAAAGTTATACTACTTCAAACCTGGAGCTTTTAACATATGAATTCAATTATAAAATAGCAATATCTCAACTAACTCCTGCAGTGGCTCTACTGTTATTTTCTACTTGGGAAAGTTAAGAGTTCAAGAAGGTCTTTGTCAAAAACTTAAGCAGGCAAGCATACAGACATGTTAACAATTCAGAATCCACCCAAGCTTAGACAAAACACTGCTTCAAGCAGCGAGCATTGCAGGACCAACATTTCAAAGAATTTTTCCTAAAAAGAAAGAGCAACAAAAAAATCAACAGGACAAAACCTCAAAAACATTACAACAATTTTTAGATAATAATACAAGTTATAGGATATTCCTTATGTGCTTAAAATTTACACTTAAACAATACATATTCTCTAACTGCACAGCCCCAAACCCATGTTTTGCAAGGGAATAAAAACTATAAAGTTATTAAGAATTGCTGGAGAAAACATCCTTAGTGGTCTTTGTGTTAGAAAGGACCTGCTTTCTTTAATTATCAACTTTTCCACTTATACCAAAATTAGATTAACTTGTAAAAAAAAAAAAAAAAAAAAAACTAAATTAGAAACATTGAGCTTACTACTTGAAAACAACATGACATTCATTTTTCACATGTGCAGCTCGACATGGATTCTGACTATAAACCATAAGAGCGTGTGTCATCCTCTGGAAAGCTTAAAAGGGCAGTATTTTCTGAATGGTTACTCCTGTAAAAAATAATCAGTTTAAGTCTTTAAAAAGAAAAATATCACCTTTTCTTATCATTTCTTCTGTATGCCCATGGCATTCTTTTACTTAACTTGTATCCCCTAAGGTTACTCCCTTTCTAGGTGGCTTAGGAACCTTAGGGACAGGGAAATCAAAATTAGCCCCCTACTGTACATTATTTTTGTCCCAGTATTTTTGAATTCAATAAAGGGGGCGTGGGCTCTCACTGCTGATCTCTGTCCACAGTATTAGAAATCATAAAACTGTAATCCACAGCAAAAGCTCACCACAGGTGGCAAATATCACTGAGGGAAGCCTTTTTAGACTGTCCTGACTCAAGAGTCCCTCAAAATACGTAGCAAGGAATCCCTTGATTTATGGTAGTTGGTGAAACCTGGCAGTGGGGGTGGACTCTGCAGCTCTAAATTCTAATTCCAGCTGCTCATTAATCTGTCATTTACTAATGGTGGGACCTTAGGCCCATTAAGCTCTTTGGGTTTCAATCTTTTTCATTTGTGACATGAAAATAACAATACAGACCCAATGGTCTTGACAAAGCAGTTGTAGGAATTAAATGGGATATTTGATGTAAACTCACTTTGAAAAAGGAGAGCAAATAAAATACAAATTGATTTTGTCATAAAGGTACACAAAACAGTTCTACTATAGTTTGGGGTGAAGGAGGGGCACATACGGAGTAAAAAAATAAAACAAGGGTAGTCCCAGAGCAGATTGCTGGGCCGTGCTTCAGTGCAGGGCAGCTAGGAAGAGCACCCTTTAAAAACTAACCCACATAAGGAGAATACCAATCAGCGAGCATTAGAGGACACAGCAGGACCAGAAGAAAGCACAGTGGGGTCTATGAGAATAGGAGGACGAAGGCTAGAATTCAAGCTTAAGGGGGAGAAGGGGTAAACTAACACTCTTCAGAGTTTCTGATTAAATGAAAAAGTGAACAAGGTAATGTTCCTTACATACTTTGAGGCAACAACTAAAACAAGTACTTTAGCAGCAACGTCAAGATGACCTACGGAGTGTTAATTTTTCATTTAAATATTTTCAAAATTAAAATAAACCTGCCTTTGGGCTCCTTAGAAAAAGAGCTGATTCCAGATCTGGTGCAGGAAAAATGTATGAATCCTCTTGTCATACCAGAAAGCAATGAAGCAAAGACTATCAAGCCTGTATCAAAAGGACACAGAGGCCAAATGGAAAGGTTCACAGATTAGGACAACTAGAACTTCAACAATAGGACAACAAGCTTCAACTGACACACATCAACAATATTTCATTCCATGAATTCATAATGGTACTAAAAACAAAATTAGTCACCATTGGAAATTGGTATGAAACCAAGTCATTAAAAACTGGTAAAGAAAAATAACTGATCATTTATTTTGCCTTTTCTATACCTCAGAGTAACCGAATACAGTTGGCCCCTATATCCATCGGTTCCTCATTGAGGATTCAACCAACTGCAGATCAAAAATATGAGGGAAAAAAAATGGATGGTTTTGCACCTGTAATGAACATGTACAGACCTTTATTGTCATTATTCCCTAAACAATACAGTATAACAACTATTTACATAGCATTTTCATTGTATTAGATATTATAAGTAATCTAAGTATGATTTATCATACATAGCAGAATGTGTGCAGGTTACATGCAAATATTATGCCATTTTATTTAAGGGACTTGAGCATCTGTGGATGCTGGTGTCTGCGAGGGTCCTGGAATCTATCCTTCATGGATACCAAGGAATGATTACACTTATGAGCTTCTTTTTTTACATAAATTTTCTTTCTTTCTTTTAAGAGACAAGGTCTCACTATGTTGGTTGGGCTAGTCTTGAATTCATAGCCTCAAGTGATCCTCCCTCCTCAGCCTCCCAAAGTGCTGGGATTACAGGCAAGAGCCACCATATCCAGCAGGAGCTTCTCTTTTTAAAAGTATTCCACTAATCACTGAAGAAAAAACTACAGAATTAGATTATCACAACTTTGCAACTTCTAATGAAATAATGGATAATCTTGAGAATGATCTTCAATGGTTGCTGATATTACATGAAGAAAACCAAGACATCACATGCTTCTTAATGTAAGTACGTTAAGACCAACTGTGAAGTACTTTTGTCTCCACCCCACATCAAGAAAAATCAAGACTGAATCTGATTAAGTCTTTAAATCTAAACATCAATTTACAGGAAATAAAGGGATAAAAGAACACTTTGGGAATATAACCAAATTCAGACTATGGAAGAAACAAAACACAGCAAATGGCTCAGTGTCCTCAACAAACAGATTATAAGAGAGGATGGGGAAGGGAGAAAGAGACACATACAGAGATAGAGACACAGAGAAAAAGAGACAGAGAGAGGATGTTATTAGTCCGTTTTCAAGCTGCTGATAAAGACATAACTCAGACTGGGTAATTTATGAAGAAAAAGAGGTTTAATGAACTCACAGTTCCACATGGCTGGGGAGGTCTCACAATCATGGCAGAAAGCAAAAGGAAAAATGAGAGCCAAGCAAAAGGGTTTCCCTTTATAAAACCATCAGATCTCATGAGACTCACTCACTACCACAAGAACAGCATGGGGGCAACCACCCCCATGACTCAGTGATCTCCCACCGGGTCCTTCCCACAACACGTGGGAGTAATGGAGCTATAATTCGAGATGAGATTTGGGTAGAGATACAGCCAAACCATATCAGTGGGGGAAGGAGGGAGAAAGAGACAGTAGAGAGGGAGAAGAGAGAAAGAGATGGGGAGGGAAGAAAAATAGGAGAAAGGAAGGAAAGGAAGGAAGGGGGAAAGGAGGTAATTAAAGACAGGCTAAGAGACATTGACCAATTTAATGTATCACCTTATTCGGACCCTGATTCAAACAAATTATTAAAAATAATTATGAGACAATTAGTGAAATCTGAACATTGATAGACATCTAATTGTGTTAACAAACTATTATTAACTTAGTAAATACAATAAAGGTTGTGTAGTTACTTTTTCAAAGAGCCAATTAAAGATATATAATATAATAAATACAGCTGAAATCATATACAGTGACCAGAATTTACTGTAAAAAATTTGGAAGGGGATCACGGAAACATAGAGCTACATATGAAATAAATTTGTCTATGAGTTAATAATTACAATTAGAGGATGGGTATGTGGGGGCTCACTATACTATGATTTTTACTTCAGTATATATTTGAAAACTTCCTTAATAAAAAGTTTAAATAAATAAGGCTGCCTTGAATCATTTTGGGAATAGGACAGCATATAGACTTAAAAGATTTTAGATTAAATAGTTTTAAAGGGGACAATATATGCTACTTAAGGAGTTACAATGAAAGATATTTTGATTTCTAGTTACACAGCATTTAAAGTTCAGAAATATGTACATAATGTGTTTAAACTCAATTGAAGAGACTAACAATCTCATTCCATAATTCCTACATTATAAGTTATTTTGAACATTTTAACAAAAACATGATCTTTACTGGCTTAAGTTAGTATGAAACAGATTCTACCTTAATCAGAGTAACAGGCATGTGTTTCCAGAGTGCTATGAACCTCTAAGATTACATGGAGGTGTGTGCAGGTGTAAGCGTGTGTGAGCACGTGTGCACATGGGTAAACTGCACTCACACTTCTTTGTGGGAAAGAGCCTGACTTCAGTTAAAGAGGTCTGAGCTGGTGTGGCAGCACGCACCTGCAGTCTCAGGTACTCAGAAGACTGAGACAGGAGGAGCACTTGAGCCCAGGAGTTCAATGCCAGCCTGGGTCACTGAAACCTGCTTAACTATCAACTTGCACACATACAAATTTTCTAAGGAGGAAGCACATCTGTAATATAATCACTAGGATTCTTCATAGCCCTTTGTGCTATCCCTTTTACACTGCATTTACGTGCTCCAAACACCCCCAAAGTGCTTTAAGTTGGCTGCTTCCCACCCGCCTCTCCTGGGCAGGTGCCTCTGCAGCAGCCCCTGCACCTCAACCCCTTTTCGCAGCCAACTCCCATGGCTCCTCACGGAAAGGGAGCTCAGTGGTTCCTACTCCAGGACACTTCCCCGAGACTTGGCAAGGTTTGCACCATTCTGAGACCCGCACATCAGACCTCCCTGCCAGCCTCCCGCAGCCGCCCTGGCTTCAGCCGCCCACCTGGCCTGAGCGCTCAGCACGTGGACTCGAGCTGGCTCTGCACCCAGCTCAGAACACAGCTCTCAACTGTAAGCATCAGGTAAGCAGCTTGGCATTGGTCACTAGAGGGACAGAGATCATCAGACAGCAGTTTCTGTGAAGCCCACACTGGGACACCTGGCTGCACCCCCTCCCACCTGACCCTCCCCTGCTTCCTGGCCTGCCCTGCTTAATTTCCCCTCACCTCACTCTGCACCACACCAAGAGCTGCCAGTTCTATTACCAGGACACGTGTTTGCCTGTAATAGAGAGCTGCCATATATTTTTAACATACTATAATACTTTAATAATACAACTTAATATTTATATAGTAAAATATATGACATGTAATAATATTTTCAATATTAAGTGAAGGTTTATGTTTGTGGTTTGTTGTTTAACTTTAAGGGAGAAACACATATAATCTCATTAACTTGCTTTTGAACTAAGCCTTTTACTGGGGTAAGGTAGGAGAAACACCTCCCAACTCTGTTTTAAATAGTAAACATCAAAATGTGCTTACAATAATGCTGCAAATAGCTTATAAAGTGATGGTATCTTCTGAAGATTAAACTTGCAAACATCTTAACACACATAAGGCCTGGTATATATAAGCACTCAATATGTTTCAGCTGCTATTAGTGGCTTTGCATGTTAATAACTGAACTATCAGGGCACTTTAATAAAGGTAAGTAAGCCCCTCCCATTCCCCTCCAAGCCTCCCAGTGCCCCCCAAAGCCCTGGATGAACTGAGTTAACTGGAGCCAAAGCCTACCAAGAAACAGCCCTACACATCCTTCTTTTAAAGGAGTAAAGAAAAGATTAGTTTTGATCCAGAAAATAAAAAGTCAAGCAGTATTTTACCCAAGTTAATTTGGACTCTGGAATTATTCTGCCAGTGTCTAAAGGACAAAGTGACTGAAAACAACTGCTCTCGGGCTCCAAATGAGCTGACAAGTGGTTTGTCAAGTGAGTATTCACGATCACCTGTGGGGGTACCCCTAAGCCCCAAAACGCCTTCCAAACCTCCTCACCACCTTTCCTCACTGCTTCCCCAGCACCACCCCAAGCCTGACCATTTTCTCACTTACTCCCCTTTTTGTAACATATGCAGAGTTGGAGCGAACACCTCAGAGAAAAAGAGGAAAAGAAAGAGAAGAAAGTTGAGGATTACGATGAACTCATCTGAATACCAAGACAACACCCAGACTCACCTCTGGAAATGCACAGGTGAAAGAAAAGCAAGGCAGTAAACAGCAAAAAGGAACCCCATCTTTCTCCACCTCAAGTCCACAGAAATTGCCTCCCTTCTAAGTTTTAAACAAGGGATGAAGATATCTTTGACCACCGGAAGTGAAAAATTAGGACAAACCAGTTAGATCAGATCATCCGTAAATTACAAAATTTTTCACCTTATATTGTTTCTTGGACTAAGACACTCTGTCTTTGCCAGAAAGTAGTGATTCACTTTTGCAAATATACTATGATACCACACTTTTACATCTTGCAATGGAAAATAAGCAATTTTTAAAAATTCACCTCAGAGAGTACAGAACATTATCTTAATTTTTATCTTTCCCAAATAATTATTAAATATATTTAATATGCACAATTGTAATTATGAATCTTCTATATATCTTAATGTGCATTCTAAAGTATTTCAGATTACAATCACCAGATCATTTATTGAGAGCTATGTTACGTGCCAACAACCCTGAAATTAGAGTTAATTATCTTCATTCTATACATTATGAAACTGAGGTTTGTAGAGGCTAAAGTTTATTCAGGGTCACAAGGTTCCAAGAGCTAACCTAACACCTGTGCTTTTTCACAGATTCTAAGCATTAGGAATTTCTTTAAAAATCTCTTAATAAATAAATAGGCTGGGCACAGTGATTCAGGCCTGAGTTCTGGCTACTTGGGAGGTTGAGGAGGGAGGACCGCTTGAGCCCAGGAGGTCAAGGCTGAAGTGAGCTACGATCATACCACTGTACTCCAGCCTGGGCGACAGAGCAAGACCCTGTGTGAAAAACAAAAAAAGAAAGTAAACAGGCAACAGGTCGGTCCTCTGAGAAGAGGAAATGGGGAGGTGGCGGACAGGCATAGGACGACTCACCTGAATACCCATTTGCATCTTTATATTTTAAATTAGCTGAATATATTACCTACCCAGAAGATAAATAAAAATTTGGAAATAAAGCAAAATCTAAATAGAAGCCAGATGATAGAGAGGGTAGAAACTTGAGTCCTACAGAACCAGTTTGGCTGAAGAGCATGCTGTCATTAGGCCATCAGCCAACAGTGCATCCTGTTAAGTGAGAAGACAACATAGAACTTACTATATGGACGATATTCGTAATCACTTTACACAGGATCCTCTAAACCAGTGCTTCTCAAACTGTCTGCAGTAAAGAACTAGTTATTGTCAGCATCCTCATTTTAAATTTCTAATCCATCATGAACTGGTTCTTTTGTAAAATACAACTGAAGGTGAGTTACTAAAAAAAAATGATTAGATGTAAATGTCTCAGGAACTTGCTATAAAAGCTTCTAAATTTACTCTCATTTTCTGTACTTACCTTGTCACAGACCAGTAACAAACAGAGCACCGACCACACCAGTTAAAAGACCACACCTCCTGGGCACCAACTTAAACCAGAAACTTTAAAAAAAAATTCCCTCTGATTTCAGTATCATGAATATTGCTCCTGAGCAGCCGGGTCACTTCCGTTTTCTTCAAATGTCATAAATTATACAACTACAGGTTAAGCATCCCTAATCTGAAAATCCAAAATGTCCCCAAATCCAAAACTTTTTTAGTGTCAACATGGCACCAGAAGTGGAAAATTCCACCCCTCTGGTCCCAAGCATTTCAGATAAGGGATATTCAACCTATAATGGTGACAATGAAGATGATGTCAACACTGCAGAAAAAGTGCCCAGAGACAACATGTTGAAAATGTGTGAAGGGCTTATTCAAGGGCTAGGGCAGTGTGCATTCACAATAAAACATGAAATCCTGTCAGTGTATAAAATCAAAGACTTGTAAGACAAAAATCATGGCTAATGAGGCAGATGACTCCGGAGGAAACATCTTTAAAAGCCATCCAGCAGAACGCCTCCTTATCCCTAGAGGACTCAATTTCCCGGTCCTTCAATACTTCTGATGTTTCTTTTCACCCACCAAACACAAGATACAGGTACGGTAACCTTTTAGTCAACACAAGGCCTCACAGATGGAGACGGAAAGCCTGCTGCTGTGTGCTGTTGCTGTGGTTTAGCAGCTGGTACAGATGTCTGGTGATGCTCTGTGCTGCTTGGTTACCCTGACACTTATTTTCTCGCTGTAATAATGGCATGTCATATTTTTTACTGTTAAGTGCTTTAATGTGAATAGATGTGAGACAATAATTGCTTATACGTAGCATATAAATTCAGCCTCAAGAAGGATGGGGATGCCAGACAACTACAGACTGTCCACATGGGTGGCTCAGATAGAGTCACCTTCACTTTCTGACAGTTCAATGTACACAAACTTTGCTACACACATAAAATTACTTAATGTGTTGTATAAAATTACCTTCGGGCTATGTGTTTAAGGTATATATGAAGATAAACAAATTTCATGTTTAAACTTGGGTCCCACCCCCAAGATTTGTATATACATTTCTCTACGTATATGAAAATATTTCAAAATCGGAAAAAAAAAAAATCTGAAACACTTGTGCTCCCAAGCACTTCAGATAAGGGATACTCAACCTGTACTTGTATGTCCCTGTTTGATAATGGTAATAAAGCTGTGGCCTTCTAAGAAGGGATGTACAAGCTCAGGCACAGTGGTTCACACCTGGAATCCAAGCATTTGGGGAGGCCAACGTGGGAAGATCACTTGAGATTAGGAGTTCACAACCAGCGTGGGGAATACAGCAAGACCCCGTCTATACAGAAATTTTTTAATTAGCCAGGCATGGTAATGTACACCTGTAGTACATTACCACAAGTAATGTACTCCTCAGGAGACTGAGGTGGGAGGATTGCTTGAATCTAAGAGTTTGAGGTTACAGGAGCCACTGTACTCCAGCCTAGGCAACAGAGCAAGAAGCAACACCCAATCTCAAACAAATAAACAAAAAAACACAAAATTGTGGCTCAAAGATTACCTCTCAGCTTTATTCCTGGCTTCACGTAGAATTCCAGTTCTCACTTGTAATATCATGATTTATCCATCTGTTTTGACTTCAATTGCATTTTATTATTTTAATCAAGCTCCCTTAAACACAATATTACATTACTTAAAGTAGTGTCATCTAAAATGTTCTTTTTTTTTTTGAGACGGAGTCTTGCTCTGTCACCCAGGCTAGAGTGCGGTGGCGCAATCTCGGCTCACTGCAAGCTCCGCCTCCCGGCCTCCCGGGTTCACACCATTCTCCTGCCTCAGCCTCCAGAGTAGCTGGGACTACAGGCACCCGCCACCACGACCGGCTAATTTTTTGTATTTTTAGTAGAGACGGGGTTTCACCGTGTTAGCTAGGATGGTCTCCATATCCTGACCTCGTGATCCGACTGCCTCGGCCTCCCAAAGTGCTGGGATTACAGGAGTGAGCCACCATGCCCGGCCTTAAAATGTTCTTTTAACAAAGGGATTTTAGTGAATTTTGCAACATGAGTAAATGAATTAATGAGAATATCATATTCACATTATAGCAGTCCCAAGCAAAAAGAAAACAAACAACAACGAAAAAAGAAAATACTCTCAGAATGTGCCATGGGGTATAAAAGAAGAAAAAGAAGACAATCTGTGGCCACTGCCCACAGGGGCAACAGGAAACTTGGTGCTGCCCCTTTAAGAAGCCGCCAGGTCAGTGGGAAGAAAAAGAGAAAATGAAAGTCAAAGGGCCGTAAAGAAACAGGTTTTCTTAAATAGGAAATACAAAAATTAAACAGTAATTCTACCTAAATTATTCTCCAAAATAATGAAAAGCAACAATGTTTCAGTCTAGGCTCCCCTGCATGGAGGTGATTAGCTGGAAGCGACTAGTATGCTGAAGTCTGATAATGACAGCTTTTACACACTGTCACCAAATTACGATGCAAATTCTATGGAAATCATTAGACCAGCACTCACTGTAAGAAGTATGATCTGGGATTGAGTTTTGGAGCTTCTCAGAGGTTTACTCCGATCCTGTCAATCTGACTGCAGAGCTGCTTTCCCTAGGCGTCTAAAATGCTCTCCTGGGGTTAGAGACCACACCCTGGTGCAGTGAATGGGATTCCTCCAATTCCAAATGGCTCCAAAACCTCTGCTTTCTCCCTCAACTGCTTCCATTCTCACTGCTTATCTCCGACCCTTTGGCCCAAATGTCTCCATTCATTCGGTGCCTCATTACACAATTATTGGGTACTCATCAGGTGCTTAAGCACTGGTGAATGTAAACAATAGAAGCTTGGTCCTTGAGGCATACTGATTCTGTTAGGCAATTTAAGAATACTCACAGCAAAGGGGGAATACTGTAATAGACGCAATTACCAGCCAATTAGGAACAAAAAAAGGAAATGCTGTACTAAGAAATGCTGTGCTGCTTGAGAAGGTCAGGGCAGGCTGAGAGTGGAGCACAGGATGAGTGGCAGGTTTCCAGGCGGTCAGTAGGCACCACAGTAGGTGTGGGGGAAATCTGGACAGATACAAACACGAGCAACATTGAGAAAGACAGTGAGGCAGTTAATTTTGTGTGCTAACTAGGATATGCCAACCAGACTTGGTCAAACACCTGCCTAGATGTTGCTCTGAAGGCTATTTTTTAGATGTGATTAACATTTAAATCAGTACACTGAGTAATACTCCCTACAATGTGAGTGGGCTTCATCCACTCAAAGACATTACCCAGGAGGAACAACTAATTCTGCCTCCAAGCGGCCTAGATGTTGGACTGGAGCTGCAACATCAACTCTTTCCTGTGTCTCTAGCTTGCCAGCCAGCCCTGCAAATCTCAGACTTGCCAGCCCCCACAATGACATGAACCAATTCCTTCAAATCAATCAATCAATCAATCAATCAATCAATAGCGCGCTCTCTCTCTCTCTATATATATATACACACATATATATATATCCATATCCATCCATCCCACTGGTTCTGTTTCTCCAGAGAACCATGACTAATGTGGATATGGTGAATTCAAGAAACTATCCGTACAAAATGGCTGGGTTACAAAACACACACAAGCCAGGGGGCATGTGGTGCAAAGGCAGGAAAGTGCTAGTCACAAAGGCACTGGGACACTGGAGAGTTTACACTCCCCCCAGGGCAAGAGAGAGCCACCAATAGTTTAAGCTGAGGAGCGACCATCTGACATGATCAGATGGTCACTCCAGCTAAAACTCACTGGCAGCAAATGAATGGAAAAAAAAAAGACTGGAAGCAGAAGACCAGGTAGGAGGTTACTATAACAGCCCAGGCAGGACAAGGTAACTGATGTGGGCAAGGAAAGGACAAGAGATGACACCGCTACCAAAGCTATGCTAGTGGGGTAAAATCAGCAGGACCTGCTGGTGAAGACATGAGGAGTGAGGGGAAAGGAGGACGATAGGATGACTCCAAGATTTCTGACTTTGGCTCCCAAATGGATTGTGGTCCTGCTTTGAAATAGGGTGGGGAAAAACACAGAGATGATAGAAGGGAGGGACATGTGGAGTAGGAGATGTCTATGAAATACCTACATGGAAATGTTGAGGCATTTGGAACTCAGGGTCTGGAACTCAGGAAACAAATCTGGACTGGAGACAAGGCTTTGGGATTCACAAGGGAAGAGTGACTGCAGTTGTAGACATAGAAAGTGAACAAAGTAGGAGAGAGTCAGGAATGGTATGTTAAGACACACTAACCTGCAAGGGTGGGCAGAACAATGCACTGACAAAGAGGTACAAGGAAAACCAGCAGAGGAGGGAAAATCAAGAGGAAAAGTGACAGTGATAACACACGCCAACAAAGCAAGTAAGACAAGGACTGAAGTTGCAGGGTTTAGCCGTGAAAGGTAATTTAGAAGATCTTATATAACAACAGTTTAGGGTAGGATGGGGAAAGCAACCAAATATAATGAGTTGAACAGTCCTTAAGAGATAAGAAAATGGACATAGTGACTGAAGCCACTGGGCTGTGAAACAAAGGCTGGGGGAATAATGAGAAAGATACTGACAGCCCGTTGTGGAACCCTAGAAATTATCCACCCTTATTGACACAGGTGTTGGGTTACTGTGCTTCATCTTTAATTCAGCTCTGTTGCAGGGATCCCTAATGCAGAACACTGACCACAGGGCCACAATGACTTCTGGACATTAGACTCAGACAACTTGGCATTTTCAGTTTGGTGATGATGTTGGAAACTGTTTTCAATTTGCAACCTAATTGCTTCCCAAATAAAGATCTCAATGATGCTTCTCATAGGAGAAATACATATATTCTAAAGAGTGCACTGAGTAGTTTTTAGCTATTTTACATATAATTTTATAGTTATAGGAGCGAAGATCAGTGATCAGAAATATTTTATGTACAAGTTTGGTATTATGTCTCAGAGAAAAAAAATCATAAGTATAGCATTTGTTAATGAACACCAAGTACCTTCATAAAAACATGTTTATTTGAACATGCAAATAAGAGTTAGTTGTTTACTCTCATCAAAATTATAGCGTGTCTTCAGGAAAAGAATTCTAGGTCAAAGCAGACTAATGTTCAGGACAGCCAAGAGTAAAACATTAATGAATATTTATTAATATTATGTGCCAGACACTGTGTCCTTCAACCCTCACCTATGGCTAGTACCATTATCCTCACTTTACAAAAGAGAAAACTGAGGCACAGAGAGGCTGAATAATTACTTGAAAGTCACAGAACTGAGAACTGGCAGAGAGGAGATTTGAACGCACGTACGTCCACACGATGTCAGACGCTACCTGAGATGAACAGTAAGCCTTGGCCGGGCATGGTGGCTCAGGCCTGTAACCTCAGCACTTTGGGAAGCCGAGGTGGGTGGATCGCTTGGGCCCAGGAATTCAAGACCAGCCTGGGCAACATGGTGAAACCTCGTTTCTATAAAAAATACAAAAAAAAAAAAAAATTAGCTGGGCATGGTAGTGCACAACTGTGGTCCCAGCTACTCGGGAGGCTGAGGCAGAAGTATTGTCTGAGCTGGGGAGGTCAAGGCTTCAGTAAGCCAAGACTGCACCACCGCACTCCATCCTGAGTAACCAAGCAAGACCCTGTCTCAATAAATAAACAAACAAACAAATAAATAAGCCTTTATCCTATGATCTCATTAAAGACAGAGGTGCCCCCTAACTTGCCCTTTAACTTGCAGTCTTGATCCCTGCAACAAAGCTGAACTAAAGATGAAGTGCAATACCAAACTGCTCCCTAACTTGTACCTTCTCCTGCTCCTATGCCACAGCTCTCTTCCATAAGTTCATTCTGAAGAGTCCTAGGCTGTTCTATGCAAATGACGAATCATTTGCCAACCCTTAGATTTTCCGGCTTGCATCCGGATCAGTGTGTTGGCTGTAAACCAACCAACACAGATGATCAATATTACAGCACAAAGGAAGTAAAAAGCCTTTGTGATTATCCAGTAAGCTAGGGATCAGAAAAGAATGATTGCAAAATCCTAACGTACAGTAGAATAAGGAAATGTTTCCAGGTATTTGTCAGAAAAGGGCCAGCTTCCATCTGGACCATGACCTACAAACAACATTAATGCTCCTAACAGAACTATTTAAATAAGATTCCACTGTTTGTTCTCTGAAATCTCCTGGGACACAATGACTACCTAGAAGGTAATCAGACCTCGACCACAGGAGAGCCAAGGACTGCCATTCCAGCTTTCCTGCCATTCTCACTTCCTGGCAGGTGAACTCTGCTCCCATTCCAGCCCCTGAAAGCCTAACCTAAGAAAAGAAAAAAAGAGAGAGGAATAGAAAAGAAAAAACTGTGAAAAGAAAGAAATGAAATAGAGGCAGAAAACAAAGAGGAGGGAGAAAGGAAACAATTACACTAGAGGTAGTTTCTGCTAGACCAACACTGAGCCAGGCCATCCCAGTTTTCACTCTCTTCTGGACACTCACCAACAATATACTTTAATTTTGTCAAAACTGCCTTTGGGTGAGGCATCCTGATTCCTGGGTAGAAATAACATGAAACCCGTGAAGTCAGAGACTCTTCTATAGTAGAGACCCAGAATGCAGTTCACTAATTTTGAAAGAATTTGTCAGAGCTGTAGGAGACCTGTGAGATCATGATTGCTGTTCCCATCTAAGAGTTAGATTCTGCCTATGATAACTGTCCATAAGGGCAACATTCCAACTAAATTTTCGCATTACTGTGTGCTACAATTAATTTTTTTAATCCAGTTAATAAAGTGCTTTCACAGAGTATATCATTAACAAAAGTTAATCGATAAATACTCCAGAGCAATAGCCCCAACAACAGAGATATTATAACCCTCCTATCAGAATACACAGAAATGGAATATGAGTATCTGGAAATGCAAACTTCAGCAAACATCACAGGAATTTTTTTAAGTGTTTGCATATAACATGTCAAAAACTAATGAACTCTGATTCTACTAGCATTTACTCTCCTAAATTCTATCACTCAAAATAATATGAAACCATTAAAAACACCTAACATGTGAACTAAAATATACACACAAATGTCTATGACAATCATAATAGGAGGTGCTAAGCTGGTTAACTAACAAGATCTCTTGAGGCTGGGATTTTCCTCACCCTAGACCCCCAGATGCATTCATCCCTGGAGTCCCTCGTACTCAATCAGTACTTGATGACTCTGAAAGAATCATCCAGGAATGATTCCAGATGGAATTTAAGTTCCATATCCAACTCAAGGCCAGTAACATTTGCTGAAAAGCAGTGAAGTCAATCAGTAACAAGTTAGTCAAAACAATGAAGAAAAGATAATGCAGGCAGTAATTACTTCTGAGTGGTGGGATTGCGGGTGTTGTTTTTTTTCCCCCTGAAACTTTATATCCTCCTATACTTCCAATTTTTCAATAGTGAACATTATTTTTACTATTCTGAATAAATGTTAAGGAAAAAAGTTTATGAAATATATATATTTCCATATATATGTCATATATATATATAAAATGTTTCAAGTCACTACTACGGTCCCCATAAATGAATGGTTCTCAACCACAACACCTCACTTTTCAAACACCTCAGAATGTTTCTAAAAACAGCCAGCTCCAAGTTCTACCCTAAGCCCACTGAACTGCATAGAAGAGCCAAGAGTTATTCAACCTGCCCAAGTAATTCTATTACACCACCAACATCAGAACCATGCTTTATGGATGCTTCAACTACAAATGGCAAGTTTCTTATCTTTGGAGAGGACTGAAATCAAAGGTCAGAACATCAACAAAAAAGCAAAGTATTCTTTTGGAACAAGCTCCATATCTAGAGAAACAGCTGATTCTAGTGAGAATTTCAGTAGTTCCTAGAGAGTGACTGTGGAAAAGGCAAGCACAGCAGGAGACACCTGAGATTGCACTGGATGCAGGGAGTGAGGTGCCAATTGTGGCTGGAACTATAGGAAGGAGCGGGCAGGCCAGAGCTGTTTCCCTGGGATTCCAGAACAGAAGGCTGTGCCACACAGAGGTCCCCTGGGTCACAATAGCAGCTGAATCTCAGTGGCCATGACAGCAAGGCAACAACGGGGCCAGCTCCCCAAGGTCCATGTAAGTGCAGCTGCCCAGGACTCCCCTTGCTGTCCAGACATAGGCTCTCCTACCTGCTTCCAACTTCAGTTCTGTGGCATTTCCAGGAAATATGGGTAGTTAACACATAACCATGCTCAATGAGAGCCAACCTGTGGCTGTGCGGCCCTTTCTCGGCACGTGGCCCAAGCCTGTGCTGGGTCTACGCAGTGAAGTACAAGGTAAAAAGAAGGCAAGCAGCTTCTTACACCTCCCTCCCAGTGCTGAACCTAGACAAAATGTACCCCTCTTAGCACCTTTAGGAACTTTTCCTAGAGAAACAAGAATGGCAGGCACCTATCTGAGTGTGCTTGGTTCCTCTTGGATATAAAGTGCAAGCCTGTGTCACCTTCTGTGTCACTCAGGATTAAACGTTTATGACATCCCACCACTGATCTAAAAGGATCCACTCACAGAGGAAAATGAAGACTGAAAAGCCAACACCAACACCACCCTTCTGTGCTTCTCAGCACTTCTGGGCCTTCACGTCCTCCTTTTCCTCCCCCACCTTTATAAGCACTCTCCTTTTCTTCAATATACACTCCAAACCCTCTCCGTCCCACCTTAAGTGATCTGCCTTGAGCTGAGCCCGTTTTTTAAACAGGTAAAACTGCTTTTAAGAGAAAGAAACATTTCTCCCATGCAGAGTACAATTAAGAAAGCATCCCTTCCCCATCCCCAGGGCAGCCATGCCTCCTTCCACCTAAGCTTGGTGAGCTTTGGAACTGGTGGTAAGAACTGATCCAAAGTGTGTGCTTTAACAAATCCTTCCAAAGAAAACTTGGAAATCAGCTATTTAAACTTGGAGTCCACTTCTCTGTAGGAAGGGCATTCATTTGAACACAAATTTAGTTCCTGCGCCATAATGTGCAGTGTTAAGAGTAACCCTGAACAATGCATTTGCTGCATGGAATAGCTTTCTCAGTACAACTGTGTAGTGCTGTAGAGCTCCCTTTTTGCCCCTGGAATTAGCCCCAATACCCCCCGTTGACAGCTTCAACAAGTGGGATCCAGGTATGACATCTGAGAAGTGAGTAAAATAAGGCTCCAGTCGACAATGGGGCAATGGAAGTGGCCAGGCAGCCAGGCTCTGGGCAGCAACCACACCAGAGGCTAGCTCCTGGAGGCAAACTCTATGATTGATGTGATGAAGTGGGGAAAGGGAAGGGGAAGAAGACAGGAAAAGCAAGAGTCCCTGAAGCAAACTTCTAGTGGTGGGGGTCTCCCGTGGCTCCACTTTTCCCCAGGGCTTCACTGCAGATGGGGTGAGAGAGGGCATCAGCCAATCACTGTCCAGAGGTAGGACACTGCCCGCATCCAGTCTGGTATACAAGAAAAACCAAAGTGATCCTCCAGGATAACAATGTTCTCATTTCCAGAAGATCATTACGCAAGGCACTTTCTTTCGTCCTAGTACAGATAAGGGTGGTTCAAAAAGACTCAAAAGTTTGCCCATGGGCTGTGCATGGTGATTCATGCCTGTAATCCCAGCACTTTGGGAGGCCAAGATAGGAGAATCACTTGAGCCCAGGAGTTCAAGACCAGTCTGGGCAACATAGAGAGACCCTGTTTCTACAAAAAAAAAAAAAAAAAAAATACAAAAATGAGTCACGTGTGGTGGCACACACCTGTGATCCTAGCTACTCAGAAGGCTGGGGTGGGAGGATTAGTTGAGCCCAGCATGTCCAGGCTGCGGTAAGCAAAGATCACGCCACTGTACTCCAGCCTGGGCAAGAGCAAGACAAAAAAAAAGTAAATTTGCCTGTGACACCCAGTGAGTACTGAGGTCAGGAATCAAACTCATGTTCATCTTTCTCTCCTCTCCCTTTACAGATTTATCTTAATTCCAAGGCCAGAATTCAGGTACCAGAAATGGGTACTTTGCCCAGATCATCCCTGACAAAAATATTTGCCTATTAACACAATCTTACTACAACTAAATAGAAAACAAAAACTGTTGACCTATAAGATAAATGAATCTTTCAAAGCATTATTTGGTTGCTCTACCTGAAGAATACTAAATTGTAACCCAGTCATCCAGCATGAGACTCTACCTGTAAACCTCGAAGGCTTATTCCTGCCTAGAGCCCCAGGGAAGCAGCTTCCACCTCCACATTCCAAGCTGCCATGGAAACAACAATGCTGCCTATTCCACTACAGGCTTTGCGAGACTCCTCTGAAGACCTCCCTCCAGAGTCCACAGTTGCGAGACTCCTCTGAAGACCCCTATCCAGAGTCCACAGTTGCGAGACTCCTCTGAAGACCCCTCTCCAGAGTCCACAGTTGACTTCCTCCTCAGAGTCCTACCACAGGATTAATTCCTGAAATCTTTCCCAAATCCAAACGTTAAGCATTATCTACATCAGTCAATGTCCTACTAAAAGTTTCCATTACACATGCTATAAATTTTGACTGATGAAAACTAAAAATCTAGATGCTTTTATTAGCTACGTATATTTACATCTATTTTCTGAAACGTATATTTAAAGAGAAGAAAAACCACAGCCCATAAAGGTTAAGTGATCTCCATTCTTCAAAGACCTAAGCAGTAATCTCAGGTTTCCTGGATCCATCCCTAAGCCCTCCACTAACAGCGATGTCCTATATAGAGAATCTGCTAAGATTTCTAGTTGGGCTCCCAATTATTTCCCTGGCCTAGATAAAATACTTCCTTGTTTTTAGCAACTAAAATGAAATTTTCCATAGTAACAATCTGGCAATAGTATAAACTTTTGGTAACGCTTAAATAGGTTAAAACCTATATGTTCAAACAGTAAATATTAAAAGACAACTCAATGGAAAGAAAATACTACATAAATTTAAATAATTTGAACTTACTAAATTAGTCAAAATAGCAAAATTGATAAGGGATAAAATTAAAAACCACCGTTGTCCATAAAAAAGCCAAAAGGAAAAAAAAAGGGACTTCAATACTTGGTCAACTCTTCCTATTTCTCCTTTTCAAGGTTTATATTTAAATGTAGAAAAGCAAAACTTTAACAAAAATCTACTATGTATTATTACTTCTCCTCAAAAAAAAACCCCAAAACCTTCCCATCCACCTTGAGAAATTCACTTAATGCATTTAGTATTCTCTTCCCCCCTCCCACCCCCCCCCCCCGTTCCTTCCCCTAATACCCAGGGTTGACCAACTCACAAAGCTAGCAGGATGCCTAAGTCAACATTATAAGGACAGGGGGACAAGAAAGAGTGCCTGGTCAAAACAACAAGATCTGTCACCACCCAGAAGGTCCCCAAAACTTGATTTCAGTTTCAAGTTCCCAAGTTAAACCTGAAACAACACAATGATGATTTGAATATTCCTTCCAAGCACACTCAGAGACTAGGGAGAGCTGCAGAAACAGAGCTGTAAGGATTCCCTGGGTATCTTGACTCCTAAGTTCTGCTAGTATATTCTTTGTGAGGTATGAAAAGTGCCCAAGGGCCAGGAACAGTGGCTCACACCTGTTATCCCAGCAGTTTAGGAGGCCTGAGGTGGGCGGATGGCTTGAGCTCACAAGTTTGAGATCAGATTGGGCAACGTGGCAAAACCCCATCTCTACAAAAAGAAAAATACAAAAAGTAGCCAGATATGGTAGAACCCACCCAAAGTCGCAGGTACTCAGGGGGCTGAGGTGGGAGGATGGCTTGAGCCCAGGAGGCGGAGGTTGCAGTGAGCTGAGATGGCTCCACTGCTTTTCAGCCTGGGCAATAGAGCCAGACCTTGTCTCCAAAAAAAAAGCCTAAGGAATTTGCTCAGCATGCCAAAGGAAGTGGTTAAAATGAAATCTGAAACAACCAACAAACGAATGCTTACCAAGCACCTTTTATGGTGCTCAATATCAAATGGGTACCAGGAAGAATGAAGTATTATAAAGTATAGTAACTCCAAATTCTTCCAGACAGCCCTGGTTTCCAACATTCAGTTCCACTCTAGATCATTTATATATGAGATAACGTGTGTCCTACCTTGGAGTCAAGAAAAAAAATGGTCACCACAGGTTTAAGACATGATCCCTATCCCCAAGAAGTTCATATTTCGGTTCTGAGCAAATGAAATCAGATAAATGAAATTGTTTTTCATTTCAGAATCTGAACAAATGAAATTGGACAAATGAAATTTTTTTAATAGTATTCAATAGGTGGTTCCCAAATGTACTGTATGGACTAATGCCAATCCATGACACATTTTTAACCCGTTCTTTAGCAAAATGAAAAAAATGGAAATGAGAAAAAGTAGTTCACATAGTCAAAAGTATATAATTTGGTGAGTGTTCTTTATTCTGGGAGCATGTTCTTCTTACATTTTGGTGTGTAAAACGGGTTTTTTTTTTTAAATACTGTGATAGCAGACAGCAATTTGTTACTCCTAAGATTCTTACTTTCAAAATAACCTAGCCACCATATATCAATCTCAGGTTTTTACCAGTCTATGTAAAATCTAACACTCCATGAGCTACTGACATTCAGGATTTTTACTCATTCATTCTCCTAGACCCCAAAAGGGGGTACAACAAACACTTTATCCTCAATTCCTGATGCCCCTTTTGAAACATCAAACCATAACAATCTTTGTTTGTCAGCACTTATGGCCCATGAAATTTACTCACAACACTCTAATCAAAATCACAACCTCACTGGTGTGATCTACCACTCACATCCACTTTCATGTTTCTTAGAGGACTTCAAAACTGGTTTGTCATCTTACCGTCCACCATCATATATATCATCATTTTCTATCTTCGTTCAGGTAGGAAGCCACAAAAACCAATCTGCAGCTAATTGAATCAGAAATCTATGAAAGGTACAGTGCAGACTGAAGAAGATGACTGAGAGGCTTCATAATGAGGAACAGCACCCAAAATCACGCTGCGGAACAGCTCTCAGAGAACAGCACTGCAGTGACAGAGACGGCACCACTGCAGCACCAGCGCCGGTGCAGGACTGGATGCTCATGCACATCTCAGGCCTCCAGATGCCCGCGACCTTCTCCCCTTCAGCCTCTTCCATAACCACACTACTCCTTTCCTCCATCGGCTTCTCCCCTGACTGCACAGAAGCCCATTTCCCCACCATGACGAAAAAAAACCTTTCCCAGATCTAAGGCAAAGGGAAAAACATACAAGACAGAATGTAAATTTGTGCTGCCAGGGGCTGGGAAAGGAGGGGATGGGGAGTGACTGATGAATGGGTATGGGCTCTCCTTCCGGAGTGATCAAAAAGTGTTCTGGAACTAGAGTGGTAAAGAAGGTACGACCTCGTAAATGTACTAAATGTCAGTAATGATAAATTGTATGTTACATGTTACCACCAAAACAACAAAAACATCTCTGGCCTCCCTCAGATTCCACGATATTACTCAGTACTTTTGTTCTCTCTCCTCTCCCCTCCCTCCCTAGCTTCCTTCTCTTCCAAGCCTGAAATGCAAACATTTTCCTCCTCCTCACTCTCATCCTTCTGTCTCCACATTCTCTCATTTGGAGATATCATCTATGATCAGTAGCAATTCCACTATCCACCCTAAGGAAGAGAGCTCTACAGCAAACCTTAGAAAACTTTTTCAGTGAAGGGCCAGAGAGTAAACATTTCAGGCTTTCAAAGCCACATGGTCTCTGTTGCAGCTATTTAACTCTATGTGGAAGCAGCCAGAAACAATAAGTAAACAGGTGTTCTATGCTCTAACAAACCTTTATTTACAAAAACAGGGCTTGCCGTGGTGGCTTACACCTGTAATCCCAGCACTTTGAGAGGCTGAGGTGGGCAGATCACTTGAGGTCAGGAGTTCTAGACCAGCCTGGCCAACATGGAGAAACCCCAATTCTACTAAAAATACAAAAATTAGCCAAGCATGGTGGCAGGCACCTGTAGTCCCAGCTACTCAGGAGGCTGAGGGATGAGACTCTCTTGATCCCGGTGGGGGGCGCCGAAGTTGCAGTGGGCAGTGATCGCGCCACTGCACTCCAGCCTGGACAACAGAGGGAG
Organism: Homo sapiens; assembly: GCF_000001405.40. Classification (NCBI taxonomy): domain Eukaryota; kingdom Metazoa; phylum Chordata; class Mammalia; order Primates; family Hominidae; genus Homo; species Homo sapiens. Next base: position 2,233,815 of record NC_000006.12, read on the forward strand.
ACTCCATCTCGAAAAACAAAAACAAAAACAGGAGGCAGCTGGACTTGGTCCAGGGGATACAGTTTGTCGATCCTGCTCTAAAGTATGATACACTGCACATCTACATTCCCATTCCTTCTTATATGCAGTGTATTTCCTCCAGGATTTCTGAGGAAGTATGAACTCCAGATGTCATTCAATAAATATCTATTGAGAGCCCACCATATTTCAGACACTGCACTAGGGATACAGCAGTAAAATACAGTCTTGTCCTCATGGATTTACACAAACTGAATGTCATTGGTATCAACCATAAAAATAAAGACAACAAACAAAACAAAAACCCTTACTTCTCCTGACTTTCCCAATCCAACAATCCAATCAGTAGCTAAGTCCTTTTATTCTCCTCTCAAACAGCTTTCTTATTCCTTCCTATCCATCATACCTGAGGCTTCACCAAGAACAAGCATTCCTTGTGTACAAAAAGCAGACTCTCTTAAATAAAATATGCAGATTTCTAGATATTTCAATGATAACATCAAAATTCATGAAAATCAAAACAAGATCCTACTGGGAGGCCGAGGCAGGCAGATCACCTGAGGCCGGGAGTTCGAGACCAGCCTGGTCAACGTGGTGAAACCCCATCTCTACTAAAAATACAAAAAATTAGCTGGGCATGGTAGCGGGTGCCTGTAATCCCAGCTACTCAGGAGGCTGAAGCAGGAGAATCACTTGAACCCAGGAGGCGGAGGTTGCAGTGAGCCAAAATCGCACCACTGCACTCCAGCCTGGGCAATAAGAGCGAAACTCCGTATCAAAAAAAATAAAAAAAATAAAATCCTAGCAAACTTACAAGATTTGAAAAGACATAAATTTTCTGACCTCGAGGGCAGGCCCTATTAGCATATGGTAGACACCAGAGAAACATTCTCAAAAATGATAGGAGTAATCTCTAAATGAAGGTATGAGAGTTTACATCAGGTACAATTTTAAAGCAAAAAAAGAGAAAGCATTGAAATTAATGCAAGAAGTTTACGGTCACTCAGTGAGTAAATTAAAAACAAGTGAGGACCTGTAATCCCAGCACTCTGGGAGGCCAAGGTGGGCGGATCACCTGAGGTCTGGAGTTCGAGACCAGCCTGACCAACATGGAGAAACCCCGTCTCTACTAAAAATAGAAAATTAGCCGGGCGTGGTGGCACATGCCTGTAATCCCAGGTACTCTGGAGGCTGAGGCAGGAGAATCGCTTGAACCTGGGAGGTGGAGGTTGCTGTGAACCAAGATTATGCCATTGCACTCCAGCCTGGGCAACAAGAGCAAAACTCCATCTCAAAAAAAACAAAAAAACAAAAAAACAAGTGATGATACGTGTACACAAAGGTGCCACAGCCAACAGAGTTAGAATCATCCCCTTAGGGGTGATGGGGAAGCAGGCATATTCTTCTTCAGGGCTGGAAAAATGTCCTTCTGAGCTAGACTTCTTCAGGCCAACTGAGACTAATCTATCAGATTAAACTTACTAAACATTCCAACAAAATCAAACCTACTATACTTCCCATGCCTATACATACAGGGAAATATAAAATGCCTCCCCCAGGGACAATGCCTAATTCATTCCATACTAAGCACCCAAATCCAGGTCTTATCATTTTGTTCTTCAAGCAAAAAGAAAACAAATGCAAAGCTGGAGCTCCCCATAGTCTGCATGGAGACATAAGAGGAAAACTGGGGCCAGGCACAGTGGCTGACACCTGCAATACCAGCACTTGGAGAGGTTGAGATGGTAGAATTGCTTGAGCCAAGGAGTTTGAAACCAGCCTGAGCAGCACGGCAAGACCCCATCTTAACAAAAAAAAAAAATACAAAAATTAGCCAGGCATAGTGGTGCACATCTGTGATCCCAGCTTCTCGGGAGGCTGAGGCCAAAGGATCGCTTGAGCCCAGGAGGTTGAGGCTCCAGTGATCTGTGTTTGCACTGCTGCACTCCAGCCTGAGCAAGACCCTTTCTGGAAAATAAAAAAAAATAAAAAAAATAAGAAAAAAAAAAAAAGAGGAAAACTGGTCTGTGTTGCCAATCTGGTAAGTTTCAGGAACAAGGCAAACAAATGGTGTTGGGAGCCAGTTCTCTATGGGTCTCTCCAGTTTCTGCATGTCTTATGAGCAGATTGCACTGACAGCTTTTATTGGCTACTATCTTTCCTGTACAGGACATCTGTAGATAGCATTTTAAGATAGCAATAGTGTTTCTCTCTGGAGCAGATGGAAGATTTGTTTGCTATGCAGAATAATAAAAATAATGTCTCCCTCAAAGCAAAGGCTGGGCAGGATTATTAGTTCCCTTATAAAAAATTGGGGTTTCCCAATCTCAGATTTTCTCAACTGTGGTGCATACCCACTGCATGGGCAACATCCACCTAGACCCACCCAGCCACCGTGTTACCCACATGGTCTTTGAGGGGCAAGAAAATACTATACAAACAGAGCTGTCACAAACATGAAGTTCATACTGCCTGCTGACCCAGGAGTGCTGTGTCTTCTGCCATCATCCGTGGAATTTTAAGAAGCTAACTTGTTAGCCTGCAAGTAAGGTAAAATCTCAGGCCTCCCACAATTCTTGACAAACAGGGTTTCTGCTGTCTTTCTCCTTGACTGGGTTTACTCCAACAAGCATATATGCCACACTTGCATTTTGTCCTGCAGGTCTCTTGCAACAAAGCTTCCATTTTGAAGGATTCCACTGTAAACTACAATAAACACGTTTATCAATATTGATCACCAAAAAATACTACTAGTGTCTGCATATACTTGCAAAATTCCAATTCATCATTTTTAAAGAACCGATGTAAAAATATAGTTCGAATAAAGCAATACTAAAAATCTAACTTTTGTGAAAAGTGATAGAAATACAGTACCATTCTAAGAAACATAGAAAAATCATGTTTTGATTTTAAAAGATTTCTAAAAGTGCCAATTAGAGGCTTTTTCACTCAGCATTAAGGAACATATTTTTGTTAAACATGATCAAGCAATTCATTTCACATTACAATCAAACCAAATGCTCAAGCATAATATATATATAATACAACCAAGCTTTGGTGGTTCATTTTCCCAAGTGTAATTAGTCAGTATAAAGAAATACTTTCTATAAATCCCTAGTAAATACCTTTATTTTTTCACTCTTAAGTTTAAAAGAACTTAGTATGAAGATCTGAGAAAGGATTCCCCTAGAATCACATGTGGTAAATTGTTTAAAAGGCACAGTATGAACAGTCTGAAACAAATGAAGTAAATACCCTTCAGCCAAGAACGTCACTGCATATAAAATCATCTAACCTCAAGTCTATGTAACTCAATTCTACATAAGTAAATGCCAAAATAATATCCTGGAAAGCTGAGTCATTTCAATGAGTAAATTTATATAAACAATTGGGTTACTACTTATGGTAAGTCACAAGATTTTGGCAGGAAAATTGCTTACTAGCTTGCCAAAGACTAGGTTTGGCACATTGGTGCCCCACTGCCAAGAACATTACTGATAATCAGCTTTCTATCCTATAGGATTACCTTTCAGACATGTTTTACTCACTCATTTCCTATGTATTAAGCTTATACAGGAATGGTTAATGCAACTGAGCACCTTACTTCTGGAAGTGTGAGATTCCCAAAATTCCTCAAGAAAGGAAGAAAAGCATGAGAAATTGTAAATTGGAAGTTTGGAAGTACCTTTTTTTTTTTTTTTTTTTTTGAGACAAAGTCTCGCTCTGTCACCCAGGCTGGAGTACAGTGGTATGATCTCGGCTCACTGCAAGCTCTGCCTCCCGGGTTCAAGCGATTCTCCTGCCTCAGCCTCCCGAGTACTTGAGATTCCAGGCGCCCACCACCATGCCAGGCTAATTTTTGTATTTTTAGTAGAGATGGGGTTTCTCCACGTTGGCCAGGGTAGTCTTGAACTCCTGGCCTCAGGTGATCTACCCACCTTGGCCTCCCAAAGTGTTGGGATTACAGGCATGAGCCACCTCGCCCCGCCTGGAAGTATCTTTAACATTAGGAAATGCAAATAATCAACAAATAAATAAAGGAGAAAGAAAGGAGAAAACTGAAATATACTAAGAATAGCCTGGTTAACATCAATCATGAAACTAAAGGGAAAGTGTTAATTTTCATGCCTTCTAAGTAAGAGCTACAGAAAGTTCTGGGAGACAGGGAAGAAGACTGGCTAAAGGTACAGCACAGCAGCATGGCCACCTTTAGGACTTGCCCACTCTACAGCAGCCACCTCTGAGCACTTTTAAGTCATTTTTAAGACAAAGAGGCCAGGTGCAGTGGCTCACACCTGTATTATCAGCACTTGGGAGGCCAAGACCAGAGGATTGCTTGAGGCCAGGAGTTCAAGACTAGCCTGGTCAGCTGGTGAGATCCTGTCTCTACAAAAAAAAAAAAAAAATAGTAAAAAAATCAGTCAGGCTTGGTGGCAGCTACCAGGGAGGCTGAAGCAGGAGGATCACCTGAGCCCAGGAGTTCAAAGCTGCAGCGAGCTATGATTGCACCACTGCACTTCAAACTCCAGAGGAACAAAATAATTCACTGTCTTCCCCCAGAAAACTGATTTTCCTTCCCAGTGGTTGCATTTCTGGCCATACTATTACCATCCAACCTGTCACCAAAATGCATTTGCATCCTTGATCTCATTATCCTCATACTTTTACTATTCTCATTCATCCTACATACCCCTAACTGCATTCCCAAGCACTTCTCCATCCTTCTCTCATTCCTTCCCACTGTGAGAACTTATTCATAATAAATAAGAACTATCACTTCATAAACACTACATGCCAGGAACAGTGATAGGCCTTATTATAATATAATCATCATTTGTAATCCACACATCAATTTGTGATGTGGGCATAATTAACTCCATTTTTCTACCCAAGAAAAACCCAAGAATTTAAAACTCCTTCCTCTATCCTAATTTCCCTGATTTGAACTTTACAAACATGTACCAAAATATCACACATACCCCATAAATATGTACAATTATTATGTACCAGTTAAAAAAAAAATCGTTCCTCACCAAAAAGTCACTTCATTCATTTGATATGTCCTACAAAGATGGACAGCTCCAAGTTTTCACTCTATCCTTACAAATTCTGACAACATACAACTCATATGAATTTCTTCTTAGTTTACAAACTTAATTTCAAATTCAGTAAAATTAATAGTTCATTGGTTTCATTTAAAAAAAAAACTATCCTGGCCGGGCACGGTGGCTCACGCCTATAATCCCAGCACTTTGGGAGGCCAAGGTGGGCGGATGACTTGAGGCCAAGAGTTCAAGACCAGCCTGGCCAACATGGCAAAACCCCAACTCTACTAAAAATACAAAAATTAGTTGGGCGTGGTAGCGCACGCCTGTAATCCCAGCTACTCAGGAGGCTGAGGCACAAGAATCACTTGAACCCAGGACACGGATGTTGCAGTGAGTGAGATCATACCACCATTGCACTCCAGCCTAGGCAACAGAGTAAGATCTGTCTCAAAAAAAAAAAAAAAAAATCCAATTGGCTTTATGTCTAAAACTGAAATTACTGCACTGCTTAAATATAAAGATAATTGCATAATTTCTCTATTGTACACATAATAAGTCAGCATGTAATCCAAACATCACACTACTGTAGACTAGGAGCAGCCCTTAGATCCCTAAGAATAACCAGGTAACCCTTTCACTTGACAAGTTAAGAAAAACACTCAAAAAATGTAAGGCTATACAATTAATTGGTATCAAAACCCAACCTCTGATTCCCAGTCCAGAGCTCTTTCAATTAATCACATGTAACAGTCTTTGATTAAGCAGGACAGTACTCAAGACATCTCTCTCACTTCCAATAATGCCAGACCTTTTTTTTTTTTTTGAAATGGAGTCTTGCTCTGTCGCCCAGGCTGGAGTGCAGTGGCACGATCTCGGCTCACTGCAAGCTCTGCCTCCCGGGTTCACCCCACTCTCCTGCCTCAGCCTCCCAAGCAGCTGGGACTACAGGCACCTGCCCCCATGCCCAGCTAATTTTTTTGTATTTTTAGTAGAGACAGGGTTTCACTATGTTAGCCAGGATGGTATCGATCTCCTGACCTCGTGATCCAGAGATTTGGGAGGCCCGCCTCAGCCTCCCAAAGTGCTGGGACCACAGGTGTGAGCCACCACGCCCAGCCCAATAATGCCAAACCTTTTATCCCAGGACTGCAAATCCCAGCAAGGAAGATTTAGAATGGAAGTCACTGCCTACAATCCTCTTATATGAGAAGATAAGACCAGCTCCCAGATCTGCTTTGCACAGTCTTGAAAGACTCACTGGACATTAAATCTGTTGGCCTCCCAGTACTTTATAGCCTTGTGGTTGATTCCAAATATTACAGAACTTTCTGCTTCTAGATAATAGATTCCCCATGCAAAGCAAGGCTAAATAGTAATACCTCCCACATTCAACTTCCTTTCCTAAAAGTCAAGAAATCTTTTATTATTCTGTTAACACTATGGAGGGAAGGTCCATTCCAGTAATGAGGCAAAGGCCACTACTATGTGCAGATTTATTTCCTATTTGATAAGAATTATTCTTCCAACCTGGCAGAAAAGATAAGTGACTTACCCAAAGCCAGTGCAGTTCAGAAAGAGCTAAGCAGTAATTCAAACACCTGTAATCCCAGCTACTCAGGCAGCTAAGGCACGAGAATCATTTGAACCTGGAAGGTAGAGGTTGCAGTAAACCGAGGTCACGTCACTGCACTCCAGCCTGGACAACAGAATAAGACTGTCTCAAAAAAAAAAAAAAAAAAAGAAAAGAAAAAGAAAACCACCTCATAGAAGCTCTCTGTTGCTTCAACAAATATACTTTGAACAAAATGTAATGCACTTTGAACGGTACCTGGCACAAACTAAATGCTCAGTACTTGTTAATTATTTTAATCTACCATAATTATAACTATCACCATCATCATACCACTAGACTATCAATGTCATAAGGAAGATGGTAATTCAGTCTGTTGCATTTGCTGTTCAAAGTGCATTACTTGTAGAATTGGTAGAGAAAAGGGAAACAGATCAGAAAAATTTTTCAAATCTACAACCTGGTCATGTGATAGTGAAAGAAAACAGCATTTTTCAGTAAAGAAAGCCAATGGTGCTGGGGAGCAATCACCTGCTAAAGAGGTTGGCATGGATAAAAGGGAGCCAGGTGCTAATAGTCAGAACAATGGGAAAAGACCCTGAAGGCATCTCAGACATCTTTGAGGCTGTCTCTCCCATCAGAGGCCCAGAGACCTAGGAGGACAGCATGGTTTGGGGAGACAGGCCCGGGGCACAGCTGGCCTGGCACACCTCAAGGAGTCCTGGAACGTCCTACATGCTGCTCCGACATCCTGGCTGCTGCAGTCACAGAATGTCTACCCAATGACCGTACAACCATTGTATCTTGGAAAAAAATTATTCGTTTTTGGTTTTACAGGCTCATAGCTAGAAGGAACTTGCTTTGAGTCTCAGACTTTGAACCGTTAAGTTGGTGCTGGAACAAGTTAAGAATTTTAGGGACTATTGGAATTGTATTTTGCATGAGAAAGATGATTGTATTTTGCATGTGAGAAGGATGAGATCTGGGGGGTCAGGGATGGAATGCCATGGTTTGGATCTTTGACCCCTCCAAATCTCACACTGAAATTTAATCCCCAAGGTTGGAGGTGGGAACTAATAGGAGGTGTTTTGGTCATGGAAGCAGATCCCTCATGAATGCTTGGTGCCATCCTCACAGTAATGAGTGACTCCTCACTCTATTAGCTCCCGCTAGAGCCGGTTGTTAAAAAGAGCCTGGCACCCCACACCCCACCCCACCTCTTGCTTCCTCTCTCACCATGTAATCTCTGCATACACTAGCTCCATGAGTGGAAGCCTAAAGCTTTCAGCAGAAGCAGATGCTGGTGCCATGCTTCTTGTACAGCCTTCAGAACCATGAACCAAATAAACCTCTTTTCTTTATAAATTACCCAGCCTCAGGTATTCCTTTATAGCAACACAAACAGATGAAGACAACTTTCATATCTTTATATCTGCAGCAGCACCAAAACAAGCCTTGGACACTGCAGACATGCAGTGAAGATGTGTTCTGCTAATGGAAAAAGTAAGTCAACAGTTTTGAAACCCCACTAGATGAAGGCATGTGGGAGGTAACAGGCTGAAAATGAGATTTCTATCTTAAAGTAGTTCATAATCTCAAGACAAAAGATATGAAATTACTTATACAATCAACAGGGACTGCATACATGTAAATACAGAGGAAGTTCCTGGAATGGCTGCATTTATCAGGATTAGGCTGAGAACACTGAGACTCACCTTAAAAGGAATAAGAATTGTGAGGCCATTCAGCCACAAATAATTACTCCAAAGAGGTACAAGGCAACAGTATTCAAAAAACAGCAAGAACATCTCCAAGAGTGCAGTAAAGAACAGCATCATTAGCCAATGGGGGTGAGCTTTTAAGAGTGGCTGGCAGAGGGCCTGGAGACAGCAATGCAAAGCCAGAGCCTGAGCTTCTTTAAAGCCTATTTAATAAGGTTCCCACTTTGGAAAAGGAGTGTGTCAAGAACCGATGGGAGGGGAAGGCTAGAATAAGAAGCCTGACAATACGTACTAGAGATACACAGCAGACAGGACACCCTGGCTGTCCGCACTATTCTCAAGCGGGAATTTGGGACAACCCATTTAAGAGCCCATCTTGGCACAAATGCCATGATAGCCCCAAGTGCCAGAGCAGTGGCATTTGAATCTGAAATCTCTTCTTAGAGTAAGACTATTTATTTCTCTCTGTCTCATAAGGCTCACCACAGTCTGTATAACAAAATGACTTACAGCAACTGCTGAGATCTGGGTTCAGATCTCAGTTCTGACACTCATTAGATGTACGACCTCAGGGAACATATTTAACCTTACTTAGCCAGGGATAAATGGGGATACTTATTATACCTGTCTCTTAGGTAGGGATATACAAAATGCTTAGCAGAGTGAATAGCTCAGTAAGTTCTCAGCCAATATTATTAAGAAAACATACAATAAGGTATGGATTTTCAGACCCCTTGCATTAACACCACAGTGCTCCAGAGATCCTTGATACTCAAGTTGGGAGTCACTGTCCTGGAATACAAATAAAAAACATAAAAGAGCAGTAAATTCCATCTGCAAGTGTTTATGTGGTAGCTACAGAATTCAGCACTATGCTAGGGGTACAGAAGCCAATGCAACACCAAATGAGGAGACAATGCAGAGGGCAGATGCCGGAGGGAAGAAAGAAACACTGGGGCAGAGATTCAACCCAACCTGAAAGCCATGCAGGTGTTTTAAGTTGGAAATGAAATGAGGAACCAAAAAATTCCAGTCAGGGAGTGGTCTGCTGAGTGTGGTGCTTCAGGTAGACTCCCATGACAGGCTGCAGGACAAACTAGAGTGGGGGCCCACTTCCATACCTTCCTGGCCACTCAGTTCCAGCCAAATGACTGCTCTTAAAAGTCAAAATTAGGTTCCATTTCTAATCTGCACTGATTCATACTGCTGGTCGTGTAAATTGGTATAGGCCACACCAACACAGCACATTAGTTAAGATGTTAATCTTAACTAATTTCCGGACAATACTAAAATAAAATCTCTACTTTCCAGAGATTAGGTAAACTTGGTAAACATTTGAGCTTCAGGTCCAGTCTGACAAAATGGAAAAAAGGGAATCATCTGCAGAAAGGTCCCAGCATTAGAAAACAAAGAGAAGGGGGAGGACAGTATGTAGGCCCTGACCTGTCTTACTGCCTCAATTCAAGGATTCAATTTCTCAACCTCAGATCCTTGCCCTCTTACTAGTTTTCAAACTCAGATCCACCTCTTACTAGTTTTCAAACTCTTGTCTATTATGATTACCTTAAGCAAAGCAAGATGCATGAATAACCAGCAGTAAATCAGGTATTCAATACTTGAAATTGTGTAATATTCTGTGACTGTGCATCTGGCCAATTTCAACTTCTCCTTCTTTTTTTTTTTTTTTTTTTTTTTTTTTTTTTTTGAGGCAGGATCTCACTCTCTTGCCCCAGGCTGGAGTACAGTGGTACCATCATTGCTCACTGCAGCAGCCTCAGACTCCCGGACTCAAGTGATCCTCCTGCCTCAGCCTCCTGAGTAGCTAGCACTACAGGTGAGCACCAACATGCCTGCCTCATTTTTTAAATTTTTTTGTAGAGACAACGTCTCAATATGTTGCCCAGGCTGGTCTCAAACTCCTGGCCTCACCTCGAGCAATCCTTCCACCTCTGCACACCGAAGTGCTGAGATTTCAAGTATGAGCCGCTGCCTCCTGCCCACTTAGCCCTTTCTAACACTAGAGAACTTTGAGAGTGGTTTCAATACCAACTGGACACTTCCCAGCGGTTTAACCTCAGGCAAATCAAACTCCCATGCCTCAGTTTCCACATATATAGAGATAATAAAAGTACCTCCTCAAAGAGTTTGTTATGAGAACTAAATGAGTTAATGTTAGGCAAGCGACTGGAACATGATAGACACAATATGTATTAGCCATTATCACCTTTATCTCAGTGTTATATTGGCCACCACCCAGAGATACCCAGGAGCACACACATCACATTCTTTCTACAGCAATATGTGGGCACGATTACTTCATGACCACTGAATCTAAAACAGCACAGCTTGGTAAGACACAGCGGTCGGATCCCACCTACTGCAACACCTCTAAGAGGCGACCCTCACAAACCAGCCATGCTTAGCCTGAGACATTCCGAAGACCTCCTCTTGATTACCTTACTCGACGAACTTATTCCTTTGAAAATGGAACTAGCCGCACTTTTGGACCAGTGTGCCTCGGATACACTTCCAAATGTGTCAACCTGAATCTCAGAAGTTGGCGTGATTTTAAAAAGTTTTTTAAGTTCTTTTTCCTAAACATGTCCTAGTAGGTGACTCCACAGCATTACTTTCTTTCATGTTCTCTTTTCTATCTGGAAATCCGGTGATAGGGGACGAAACCAGCAAAGCACCCTTTTTCTTGCTTCCCAAACGTTAGCAGGTAAGCGCCCCTTGAGCCGAGACACATCAAGAAGACCTCACCCGCAAGTTCATTGATCACCGGTTCTTTTCCCTTTCCGGCACTAGGAGCTGCGAAGCACGACATGGGCTTGGAGGAAGAGACGCTGCGGTCACCTGAGGGGCAGGTGAGAGCGGGCGGTCCTGCCCGGGTGTGAGCGCGACATCCCGCGCGGCACACACGCTCACAGCCCCCAGAGAAAGACCAGAGGCGCTCGATGTATCCCGCACACCCCACACGCAACACACTAACTGCACCGTACCTTCCGTCCCACCTCCCGGCAGCAGACCCCTTCCGGGACGCCGAGAGGGCTGTTCCTGGAGAGACCGCAGCCCACGAGTAGCGGCGCGTAGGGAGAGCACGCGTGCCCAGGCTGCCTCGGCCGGCGCGCCCCCGCCCCCGCACTCACCTGGCCTGTGATACCGGTGATGAGCGCCACGTTCCTGGGCTTGCCCATCTCGCCGTCCCCGGAGCCCCGGGCGCTGGGGCAGCGTGCCGGTGCGTGTGCCATGTCCCGCGGCGGGCGTGCGGTCGGCGGCAGGGCGGAGCGCGGCAGAGGGCAGGCGCGGTGCCGGCAGGAACGCGGGGGTGTGCAGCACGAAGCGCCTCTCCAGGCTGCGGGCAGGGAGGGAGAGCGCACCGCGCGACCGGCCGCCACAGTCTGACAGGGGCGCACGGGAGGCCGTGCAGGGAGGGCCGGGGGCGGGCCGAGCCGGCCAAGGCGGGCCCGACGGGCCAAGCAGCGGGGCTGCGGCCTGACTGGCGCAGCGTCATTCGCGTCAGCCGGCGACGCTGTAGCAGGCCCCGCCCCTCCGCCGACGGCCACCGCGCGGGAGGGGCGGGGCCTGCCGCCGCCACCGCCTCAGGGAAGAGGAAGGAGGCCGCGGCTTCGCGTCCCGCCTCTCGCCTGGCTGGCCGTGGGGGGCCTGGACGCAGTGGCCTCCCGAATCTCCCAGGACCCTAATATCGCCCGAGGATGCTGGGAGGAACGCTGAGCCGACCTCTCCGTTAGGCTGAAGGTCTGAATTTTCAAACCCAGGGGTCACAGGGCCGGGGTCATGGACTTTGATAAATAATTCCTGGAAACCTGTTGCAGTGCCCTTTGAGAAGCCCGGTTTATGGTACCTGAAGGGCAGTAGCGTACAAGGCCCGTAAACGGGGGTCACAGATGTGGGAGTGACTAACTAGGCTGGCTCTCGCTCTTCTGGCCTTTCCTGAGGCTCGGAACCAGTAACGAGGTTCCAAATAGCTGAATTCAAAGTTTTCTCTTCTGAGGACTGCCAGTGCACAAGAAAGTCCCTAGCCCCACCCGTATGCGGCATAAGGAAATGTTGAAAAGACTGCCCGGGTCAATAAACCTGGACGTGGCAGATTTCAAAGAAAGTAATTCAAACACAGGTGGGGTCCCGGCTTACATCTGTTGGATTTGGCTGCCATTTGGCAGCTGCTCGTTGGACAGGGAGAGGAGAGGAGGTGACTCAGAGCCGGGAGGGCAGCAGGTGTGTGTGCCTAAGCAGTTGGCTGCAATCCAGGACACAGACGGAAACTTCCCGGTCTCCGTTGCTCTGCTTCTCTGTCCACATTCCTCTCCCTAATCGATAACTTCAGATCATCATTTCAAATCACAGAGTTACTAGGGCTGTGCCCAATATAACGTGCAAGAGTATGTATAGCAGACCTGGAACCCCAAAATCAGAAAAGCTCAGGATTACATTTAAAACCTCCCTCTCGCGCTCCTCGAGGTCCGTTAGGAATATTTCTTAGCTATAGATAGACTGGTCTGGTTTCACACCTGGCCTCTCCTCTGCGTTCTATGAGGAGAATGGCTCAACAAACATCTGATGGTGCCTCTGAGTGATGAAGAGACCCTGAAGCTGAGGAGAGGGAACACTTCCATTGAGAGGAACATGCTATAAGCTAGAAATGTCTGTGAAATATACGGGAATATGCTAAAACTATACTCATTTTCATGTAAATACGCTTTAAATTAATGCATGAGCCAATTATTTAACATTTTCCTTAAAAAAATCACTGAGCAAGCCGGGCGCAGTGGCTCACGCCTGTAATCCCAGCACTTTGGGAAGCTGCGGCAGGTGGATCACCTGAGGTCAGGAGTTCAAGACCAGCCTGGCCAACACGGTGAAAACCCGTCTCTACTAAAAATACAAAAAATTAGCCAGGCGTGGTGGTGGGCACCTGTAATCCCAGCTACTCTGGAGGCTGAGGCAGAAGAATCGCTTGAACCCGGGAGGAGGAGGTTGCAGTGAGCCGAGATCTTGCCATTGCGTTCCAGCCTGGGCAAGAAGAGCAAAACTCCATCTCAAAAAAAAAAAAAAAAAATCACTGAGCAAAACTGATACTTATGGGAGATATGACACATTTATCCTGTAGTTTTGAGACCTCCTATCACACAAACACTGGAAGTTGACACCAGTCAATTTCCTGTCACACCACCAAACACCTGCCCTAGAAGTGTGTGACAGTAGAAGAAAAATGGAAAAAAAATCAACATTATTAGGGCCTGAAAATATTTATAAAATGATGGGAAATGGTAGGTCAGAGGAAGCTTGAAGAATAAAGGCTATTTCTCTAGAGAACTTTTCTGAAGACAGGTGGTAGGTCTGCTACAGCAACGTACCATCCATAGGGTGACAAACGATAGAAATTTATTTCCTCACAGTTCTGGAGACTGGAAGTTTAGGATCAAGGGCTGATTTCTTCTGAGGCCTCTCTCCTTTTCTTGTAGCTGGCTGTCTTCATGTTCACATGGCGTTCTCTCTGTATGTGTGTCTGTGTCCAAACTTCCTGTTCTTATAAGAACACCAGTTACATTTGATTAGGACCCTCTTTAATGACCTTATTTCCAAATACAGTCACATTTTGAGCTACTAAGAGTTAAGACATCAATATATTAATTGGGGGAGGGACAAAATTCAACCCATGATTGACAGCTAGAGGGAAAAAGAGGTTCTTTTTTTTAACTGTTTGTGGGCTCGGAGGGAGGAGGTTGGTAGTGGAGGTTGTTGTCATTTTCCCAGTAGCATTAGGGCAACTTGAACAACGTCAGCACAGGGTCTGGGGCAGCATAAGAAGATTACATTAACTAGAAGTAAAGCGACCAGCGGTAGTGGAAAGCTCTAAGGGTGATGGCTCAGTTGTGTTTTCCTCTAACACAGTTCTCATCCCTGGGTGATTTTGCCCCCAGGGGACATTTGACAATGTCTGGAGGCATTTTTGATTGTCACAAATGGAGTTGTGCTATAGGTATCTAATGAGTAGAGGTTAAGTATTTTGCTCACCATCTGCAGTGCACAGGAAGCTCCCACAACAAAGATTTTTCTAGCCCAAAATGTCAATAGTGCTGAGGCTGAGTAACCCTTCTCCAGGAGGCCAGTGAAAGATGTTAACAAGCGGGTGGTTGAACTGACAGACACTGGCTATACTATACAGTGACTTCATGGTATGTCAGAAGAAGCAAATACATTTGGTAGCTAATTGTTGATGCTGATACCTTTACTCACAAACTTGGCTAATCTCCAGAAACATACTAGCTGCTGAGGGTATAGCAGTAGAGGAGAAATAATCTTCAAGGGGCTATAATCTGAAAGGGATATGATATTGAATCATTTTATGACTTTTCATAACATTTTCATATTTGTTTTAATATGATACAAAATATAGAGAAAAGAGTGAGGCCTCCAACTCCAAGTCCTCTAATTGGATAAAAGTCAATCATTCTGTACAAGACTAAATATGTGGAATAACATTTTTCACTTCTTTCTTTCCCATCTCTTGCCACTGAGTGCATGCCAGTTATTCAAGAACGATTCTCCAGCATTCCCTTTAAAATTCTCTCTCCTCTCCTTTTTTAAACATTTCTTTCCTTTGCTTTTCACATGGAACATTTGCTGATCTTCTTTCTCAGATTGCACAAACCATGCTAATGGCCAGCATGGATGGAGGGAGCGTGTGAGATGTGTGGGGCAGCGTGCTGCATCTCAGCCAACTCCAGGAGGTAAGTGCGTCTGCTGTGGTGAAATCTATATTTGGTCTTCATTTCTGTTTTCCTGGCATATGATTTCTAAAATGCTTAGAATCACCAAAGCGATGTATTTTGTAGGGTAATGAGTGAGTTCACTGTTGGCTGGCAGCCCTTAGGTGGCTTCAGGGTGGAAACTGGTCATTGTAAAGACCAATGCAGGATTAGAGGGCTGGGACTTTCAGCCCCATCCCCTAACCTCCAGGGAGGAGAGAGAAGCTGATGGTTAAGTTGATCACCAACGGCCAACGATTTAATCAATCATGCCGACATAATGAAGCCTCCATAAAAACCCAAAAAGGACTGTGTGCAGAGAGTTCTAGATAGTTGAACACGTGGAGGTACATGGAGGGTGACGCTTCAGGGTGGGCACCAAAGCTCCAAGCTCCTCCTATTCCTTGCCCTGTACATCTCCTCATCTGCATCCTTTGTCATATACTTTGTCATACCAGTAAACTGGTAATCCTGAGTAAGAGATTCCCTGAGTTCCGTGAGCCACTCTTTCAGATTAATAAACCTAAGAAGGGGGTCACGTGAAGCCCACTTTTTGGCCAGTCAGAAGCACAGGTAGAATAACCTGGGGCTTGCAATTGGCATCAGAAGTTGGCGGGGGCACAGTATTGGGGACTGAGCCCTTGACCTGTGGGATCTGATGCTATCTCCAAGGAGACAGTGTCAGAGTTGAATGGAATTGAAGGGCACCCAGCTGGTGTGCCCTATAGAATTGATTGCCTGCTTGTGGGTGGGAAGAAATCCCATGCATACTTGGTCACAGAAGTCTTCTCTGTTGATTGGTGTTTTGTTAGAGCAGGGGAAAAACAATTTGAGTTTGTCCACACTCAGTATGATAATGATCTTTATTTCATAGAGTCAGAAACTGAGGATTGGAAACATTAATAAACTCGCCCAAGGCCACATAGCTAGTGGCTGGTTATGGTAGATATTATGCTCATTCAACTCCCATTCCATACTCTCTTTGGAAAAATTAGAGTGCTCAAAGCCACATGTCCCAGACCATTTTGCATCTCATATATAGGAAGCAAATTGAGCTTTGTCAATTAGATGCGTTCCTGCTCAATCTGGCAGGTGGAAGTGAAACAGAAGCCATCCTTCTGCTTTCTGGTCCAACTGACATGAGGATTAACGGCAGTTAGAGTCCAAGTTTGGGTCTAGTCACCGTTTTCATGGGCATGAGAGCCACTTGGGTTGGGGGAGCAGCATGGCAGCAGGAGTGGTTTTCTGAATTCTGGCCTTCAGCTATGGTGGTAATGTCCTGACATCAACAACTGAAGGCCCTCCGAGTTCTCTTCCTCTGTCTCATAAATATTTTTTTCAACTAATAATTGTAGATTCAAATGTATTTTTAAGAAATACAGTGAGTGACATGGTCATGTCTTCAAATACTATAGAGCAATAGCACAAGCAGCATATTGGCGTTGATAGAATTCACCAATCTCATTCAGATTTCCTCAGTTTTTGTACTCATTTGTGCAAGAGTATGTGTATTTACTTGTGTACCGTTTGGTTTGGTTTGTTTTGCCTGAGACAAGGTCTCACTCTGTCATCCAGACTCACTTGCAGCCTCAACCTCCTGGGCTCAAGCCGTCCTCCTGCCTCAGCCTTCTATATAGCTGGGACCACAGGTACACACCACCATGGCCAGCTAATTTGCTTATTTTTAGTAGAAACGAGGTCTCACTTTTGCCAAGGCTGGTCTTCAGCTCCTGGGCTCAATTGATCCTCCCTCCTTGGCCACCCACAGAGCTGGGATTACAGGTATGAGCCACCATGCCCAGCTATTTTTTTAATTTATTTATTTTGAGTAGAGACAGGAGTCTCACTTTGTTGCCCAGACTGGTCTTGAACTCTTGGGCTCAAGCAATCCTCCTGCCTTGGCCTCTCCCACAGGGCTGGGATTACAGGCATGAGCCACCATGTGTGGCCTACTTCTATACAGTTTTATTGCATGTATATATTCATGCATCCACCACCGCCATCAAGATTCCAAAACCACCAGGACACCTCATGTTACCCCTTTATAACTGCACCACCTCCCTCCCACCCCCATCCCTAATCCTTTGAAAACACAAATCTGTCCTCTATTTTTAAAATTTTGTCATTTCAAAATGTATCATAGGCTGAGTGGAATGGTTCACGCCTGTAATCCCAGCACTTTGGGAGATAAAGTCTGGAGAATTGCTTGAACCCAGGAGTTTGAGACCAGCCTGAGCAATATAGCGAGACCTTAGCTCAACAAAAAATAAAAACTAGCCAGGCAGGGTGGCACGTGCCTCTGGTCCCAGCTACTGGGGATGCTGGGACCTCATTTGACCCCAGGAAATTGAGGCTGCAATGAGCCATGATCGCACCACTGCACTCCAGCCTGAGTGACAGAGCAAGACCTTGTCTCAATTTTTTTTAAGCATTATAAATGAATAATCTTTTGAAATGTGCTTTTGTCATTCAAGTTTTCTGGAGAGTCATCATCCAAGATGTTGTGTGTATGGATAGTTTGTTTATTTATTTAGTTAGTTAGTTATTTTTGAGAGGGTGTCTTGCTCTGTCACCCATGCTTGGAGTGCAGTGGTGCAATCTCGGCTCACTGCAGCCTCTGCCTCCCAGGTTCAAGCGATTGTCCTGCCTCAGCCTCCCAAGTACCTGGGATTGCAGGCACCCTCCACCACACCCAGCTAATTTTTGTATTTTAGTAGAGACAGTGTTTCACCATGTTGGCCAGGCTGGTCTCGAACTCCTGACCTCAAGTGATCTGCCCACCTCTGCCTCCCAAAGTGCTGGGATTACAGGCATAAGCCACTGCACCCGGCCTCATTAATTTTTTTGTTGAGTAGTATTCCATAGTATGGCAGTACAATCGCTGGTTTAACTATTCACTTACTGAAGGATATCTCAGCTGTTTCCAGTTTGGGACCACTACAAATAAAGCCGCTGTGAACATTCATGTACAGGTTTTTGTGTGAACACACATTTTCACTTTGCCCAAGAGTGCAATTGCTGGGTCCCGTGATCATTGCATGTTTAGTTTTTTTTTTTTTTTTTAGACTGCCAGATTTTTTTCTTGCAAGGATTTTGTAAATACAGAATTTCCTGTATTAAATCCCTTTCTACTTGAGATCCCTATAGTGGCTTCTGTGTCCAGCTCTAACCCTTGGCTGACATGGCTCAAACTTCAGACCCAGTGCTCTTAACCAAGACTGGAAGACCAAAGAGATGACCTCCTGAGTGCATGAAAATGAATGAGAGAGAAGGGTCGGGGCAACAGAAAGCATCCAGTAGAGAAGGAGAAGTAGAGACCATTTCTTTTTTTTTTTTTTTTTTTTTTTTTACTTTCCCTGAACTTCAACTTCAAGATTTATACCAGTTTTCCAGTTCAGGTAATAAGCAGAATAGAAGCACTGGATTTTTAAATAAAATCTGAGACAATCCAACTTTGTTGGACATGAGACAACTTAGATCCCTGCTTTTCCACTGGAATAAAATACATCGCATAAATCTTTCTTAGAATGCATAGCAGAAGCAGCAGGGTTTTAGAAGCAGAGTTAAAAGGCAATGAGATAGCTCTAAAATTTCTTTTTATTTTTTTGAGACAGAGTTTCACTCTTGTTGCCCAGTCTGGAGTGCAATGGCGCGATCTCGGCTCACTGCCACCTCCGCTTCCTGGGTTCAAGCGATTCTCCTGCCTCAGCCTCCTGAGTAGCTGAGATTACAGGCATGTGCCACCATGCCTGGCTAATTTTTTGTATTTTTAGTACAGACAGGGTTTCTCCATGTTGGTCAAGCTGGTCTCAAACTCCTGACCTCAGGTAATCCACCCACCTCGGCCTCCCAAAGTGCTGGGATTACAGGCATGAGCCACCACACCCGGCCAATAGCTCTAAAATTTCTAGGAAGTTCCTGAAATCTGCCACCTCAACTTTGGAATATACCATCCTACAAATGAAATCAGACTACAGCAAGTTTTTTGAATGATGTATTTAGAAAAGGAAAAATAAATGTGTTCAAAATAATTGAACACATTTATTTTTTTTCTCTTACATCCTCACTCATACAATTTCCCATCAGATAGCTGTCTTCAGGCAAATGAGTATTACAAGTATGAGTTCTGGGCCACGTATATACCTTATCTACAGCAGGCTATGTATGTAAGCCTAAGTCACTTTGTCTCTAGCTCCTCTGGGTTTTTGTTGTTGTTGTTTTGTTTGTTGAGATGGAGTCTCGCTCTGTCACCCAGCCTGGGGTGCAGTGGCCTGATCTCAGCTCACTGCAACCCCCGCCTCCCGGATTCAAGCAATTCTCCCGCCTAAGCCTCCTGAGTAGCTGGGATTACAAGCATGTGCCACCACGCCCGGTCTCGAACTCCTGACCTCAAGTGATCCACCTGCCTTGGCCTCCCAAAGTGTTGGGGTTACAGGCATGAGCCCCCGCACCGAGCCTACTCCTCTGTTTTTTAATTTTTCTTTTTTCTTTTTTTTTTTTCTTTTGACCAATAGTCTTCAAGCTAGAAAACTTCATTGGGGACATTTTATTGGGAAGGTTTTCCACTCTAATAATCTCAATTTCTCAATGCGCTAAAACCCAGGGAGCAGAGCCTTGGAATCATTGCTATACTGTCTAATTAGAACCTCCTCTCAAGGAGCACAGCATTGCTTTTCCATTAGCAGCATCAAACCCAGAGAGGAAAAGCATGTGAAGGTTTAAGTTGTCCATGGAGCTTATTTTCAGCATTTTCCCCTCAGGATTTGAGAACATGCCTATGCCCACTCCTCCCTTTGTGACATTTCTTAAAGCCTTGCTCAATAAAAGTGAATCTCTAATAACATAAAACACTAGAGATGAAGTAATACATTGTTCTTTAAAATAGATGAGGTAATAAAACACCATTGACTGCTATGGAAATTTTCCAGTTCCTGGTTACTAGTCTGATTCTTATAATGTGTCAAAATTGCCTCAAGGTTAAGATATTGGTCTTATTGCTAATTCTAAGCACTGTAATGCCAGAGAAACCTTACCATTTTGTACTAATATGTTTAACATGTTCAAGATGCTGTCATAAATCTCAGGCTCCTCATGGCTCAGTCCACTTCAACTAGTAATGGCTTCCAGTCATTTTTGATGACTGGTAAAGGGTTGGCTAAGGGCCTAATCTGCATAATGAGAATGCTAGGACTATAAAGGCAAGCGTCACGAATCCTATGCAATAGAGAATTTGCTAGACTTTCTGGGAAAGAGAACTTTGATCCTAATGAATTTTTTTAAATGGCCCCCTCATTCCCACTAAGAGAGATCTTTCATCAACCTCCAGGAGGCATGCCTTGGGAAACTCGCCCTAGGATAGAAGAGTGCTGAAGAGTATCTGGGCTCTGTCCTGGATTGTGTCCTAAATGTTAGTGAGAAGACCCATTTTTGACTTGACATTGGATAGGATCACTAAATAATCCTGACATGCAACTCTGGGGTAATTTGTTCCATGTTCTCAAGCAAACTAAGTCTTAAAAAAGCAAGCTGCTCCTTTGGGAACCTCACCAAAAAGCAGTAAGCGCTAGTGAAGATGGAACCTTCAGCAGCCAGTGAGCAGTGGAGATAGTTGTGGCAAAATCAGTATCAGCTGGGATCCTGGCAAAATTACCATGGCTTCAAATCATCATGACAGATACTATGGCTTGGCTCCCAACAGAAGGAGCATTCAGCCAAGTAAAGTGTTCAGTGAAAACGCCAGGGAGTTAATCCTGATTCGTCTAAAGCCATCATGTTAGTTCCATTCCCCTTGTCAAAGAAGGACTTAGGCATAGCCATGTTATGCAACCCTAGCCCCTGAGATGAAATAAGTGGAATTATTCTGCCATTGAGTCCCTCCTGCCCACCTCCTATAGGTGATATCCTCAGGTTAGTGTTGAAGGCATTCAGCCTTTCCTGTATGAGATCCATCCAGATCCTGCCTGATGGCAGCCCATCGTTCTATGGGTAATTAGGACGGGGCTCTGCTGGGCAGTTATTCTGCTCCTTGTGACATTAACTGGAGTTACTCAGTGGTATTCAGATGGTGGCTGGAGAGTTCATTAACTCTTCCCTCACAGTCTCGTGCCTTGACAGGGAAGTCTGGAAAGCAGGGCTCAGATAGAATCTAAGTGGCCAGGCCTCTCTCTCCCTGGCCTCTCTATGGCCTCTCCACATGGTCCCTTCAGTGTGGGAGACAGCTTACATGGTGAGTCAGTACTACCAAGTATAGGGTTCTAAAAGACTGAGGAAAAAACTGCAAGACTCCTTATGACTTAGCCTTGAAGTCTCAGAACATCACTTCTTCTCACATTCTACTAGACAAAGTAAGACACAAGACCAGTCCAACTCAACAGGAAGGAATTAGATTCCACATCTCAATCTAAGGAGCAGCACAAATATGCAGAGAGGAAAGGAATTGATTGTGGCCCTCTTTGAAAACTATCTCAGGCCATCCTTGGGCCACTTCAATTCATAGCTCTTCCTTATGCAAAATACACTCACCTCTTGCATTTGTTTTCTATGCTGCGTAACAAATTACTACAAACATAGCAGCCTTAAGTAATACACATTTATTATCTTAGTTTCTGTGGGGCAGGAGCCTGGGCATGACTCAGCTAGGTCCTCTGCTCAGGGTCTCATGTGACTGCAGTCAAGGTGTCAGATGAGCTATATTCTCATCTGGAGGCTTGACAGGGGAAGAGCCTACTTCCAAGTTCATTAGGTTGGTGGTAGAATTCACTCCATTGTGGATGTATGACTGAGGACCCTGGCTTTTTGCTAGCCATCAGAAGAGGCCAGTCTTGGGTCCTAGAGACCACCTGTGGCTCCTTACAATGTGGGCTTTCTCAACATGGCTACTTACTGCATGAAGCCAGCAAAAAGAATCTCCCAGTCCAGTATGCTAAGACAGAGCCTTGTATAACATAAGTCCCACCCTCACTCAAGGGGAGGGGAATGTTAAGAAGACATAAACAACAAGAGGTGAAAATTATTGACCGTAGGACCTGTCCATCACATTCCCTTTTTGGAGGCCCCAAATTTGATGGTTTAATTAAAGAAAAAAAAATGTTATTATCTCTTGTGGTTCTATGTGTTGGCTGAGCTCAGATCGGAAGTTGTTACTTGGGATTGTGATTCCGGTTGCAGTCAGATGGCATCTGGAGCTGGGATCCTCTGAAGGTTTGATTGGGTTAGAAGTTCAAAATGGCTTCGTCATGCACATGTCTCTTGCCTGGGTTAAGATGACGAGAATGCGAGGGCCTGGCTGAGCATTTCTTTCTCTCCACGAAGCCCTCTCCGTGTGGCTGGCCTGGGCTTTCTCACAGTGTGGGAGTCTGAGTGGTGGGACTTACACGTGGTAGTTCACTTCACAAAAGTAAACATTACAACAGTCCTAGGAGGAAGCTGCAAGGCTTTGGATGGTCTGGACTCAGCAGTCATGCAGTGTGTCTTCTGTCACATTCTATTAGTCAAAAGCAAGTCACAAGGCCAGCCCAGATTCAAGGGGTGAATCATAGGAGGCACAGCTCATTGGGGGAGCTATTTGTGAAGACTATTAAATATATCGACTTGGAAAAGCAACGTAATTACTATGTATGGTTTCTAAAACTACCTCCCACAAGAACATCACCTAGATTTATATCCAGATTCCATGTACAAATTTTGACTGAGCAACTAATGCCATGTTGGTGCATTATACAATAAAGCCAGGCATCAAACGTGCATAGTCACATGGTCACAATGAAAGTTATGTTCCTAGGCCAGGCGCGGTGGCTCATGCCTGTAATCCCAGCACTTTGGGAGGCTGAGGCGGGTGGATCACCTGAGGTTGGGAGTTCGAGACCACCTTGACCAACATGGAAAAACCCCATCTCTACTAAAAATACAAAATTAGCCAGGTGTGGTGGCGCATGCCTGTAACCCCAGCTACTCGGGAGGCTGAGGCAGGAGAATGGCTTGAACCCGGGAGGCAGAGGTTGCAGTGAGCCGAGATCGTGCTATTGCCCTCCAGCCTGGGCAACAAGAGTGAAACTCTGTCTCAAAAAAAAAAAAAGAAAACAAAAAAAAAAAAAAACAAGAAAGTGTGTACCATGCCATGGGCATGCATTGTCCATTATCTCTGATAGCTCAGAGTTCATCACAACCGAGTATGCTGGGCTAGAAAGGGCTTTCCTTCCTGAAAAGAGATGGGCAAAGACAAACTTCGCTTTCTGGTTGTGGGGGTTGTTCTGTAGGTATGATGCCTGGAGTTATACCGAATATCCTATGACTATGAAGGGAAAGTCAAAAATTGTACAAAAGCAACTCAGAATCCTGACATAATTGAGCTGCGATAGTAACCAACCCTGAAACTTCTTACCTTTAGATTTCTATGTGAGACAGTACATTCCTTATTTTTTAAATCACCTTAACTGGATTTTCTGTTCCTTGCAACTCAATACATTTTTTGTTTTAGCCAACTCATCTAAACTAATTTTGATCAATTTATTTTTATTGCTACATCTCTCTAGACCACTAAGTAGTGAAGAAGAAAGGAGCCTGGAGCCACAGTAGAAGAACTTTAATGGCCACTAAGAACATACAATCATCTGGCACCCTGCCAGGGAAATTTGGGGCCTTTGGAGCTTAATGCTTGGAAAACCACACCCTTAATTTTCCTTCCTTATTCCAAGTGGACTGAGAGAACAAGCTTATGTTTTGTTCCTTAGAATTTTTTTTTTTTTTTTTTTTTTTTTACCCATCTGACCCTTAAACATTGCTATGGTTTGAAAGTGATGCCTCCAAAATTCATGCAACAGAATTGGGAGGTGTGGACTAACGGGATGTCTGTAAGTCATGAGGGCTTTGCCCTCATGAATGGATTAATGCTGCTATGAAAAGGGCTTGTGGAAGTGGGCTTTCTCTCTCTCGCTCTCTCTTCTACTCTTCTGCCATGTGAGGACACAGTGTTCCCCCTTGCTGGAGAATGCAGCAATGATGCACCATCTTGGAACCAGAGACTAAATATGCTGGCACCTTAATCTTGGACTTCCCAGTGTCCAGAACTATGAGAAATAAGTTTCTGTTCTTTAACATTTCCTAGTCTGTGGTATTCTGTTATAGCAGCACACACACACACACACACACACACACACACACACACACAAAGACTGATAATCATTCTTCCCTTTTCTAACCCTAGCTTAATGTGGAAAAACCAAGTTTATATTTTAGGGGATTTATCCATACTTACCCAAAACCTTGTGTCATCTCCATCTGTTCCACTGGTTATTACCAAACTGAGAATTAGTCAATTGACCTTTTGTGCAGGAGTGTATTAGTCTCCTAGGACTGCTATAACAAAATACTACAAACTTGATGACTTCAAACAAATTTATTCTCTCACACTCTGGAGGCTAGAAATCTGAAATTAAGGTGTCAACAGGCCCACATCCGCTCTGCAGGCTCTAGGGAAGGATCGTGTCTGCCTCTTCCTAGCTTCTGGTGGTTGCCAGCATTCCTTGGCCTTCCTTGGCTTATAGACACGTTGCTTCCTTCTTTGCCTCTGTAGTTACGTGATGTTCTCCCTGTGTGTGTCTGTGTTAAAAATTTCCCTCTTTTAATAGGGACAACAGTTGAGTTGGGTCAGGGCCACCCTACGCCACTCTGACTTCATCTTCGCTTGATCACATCTGTAAAGACCCTTTTTCCAAATAAGGTCACATTAGTACATACCAGAGGTTAGGACCTAAACACCTTTTTGGGGAACTCAATTCAACCCACAGCAGTCAAGTCTATTAAAGGACTGATGTAGTAATGAACATCATCCTCAGTAGCAAGAGTCTAATAAACTGTGTTGGCAAAAGACAAGAGCCTAAGGGCAATTCTGAGAAGGTTGGATGAGGAGGAAGGAGAACGTAAAAAGAAGCTGATAAAGTTTTCTGAGGAAATGGATTTCTCTTGGGTTGTCAGGAAAATCATATGGGGAGAATAAAGTCTTTTCTTCATTGAGCACTTATAAGTTGGTAGCCTAGATGAAACACTTCATGTATTGTTTCAGTATTCCTCACAGCCTACAAGGTAGGAAGTTATCTCCATTTTTTTTTAGATAAGAAGTTGGAACACAGGGAAGTTACAGTCAATTGCTTAGAGGTTATTTAGTAAATAAATGGCAAAGCCAGGAATGAAAGCCCTCTCTGTCTCATAGCAAAGTCCATGCTCTTTCCGTTTGTGAAACTAATCCTGCACTAAGTGAACAAATAATTATCCCATATGTAATCTATGCCAGGTACAGGACCCAGGGGTGTGTCAGGATATATGCTGCCAAGCTGCCTTGGACAAAGGTGATCACAGTTTACATTTCCACTTACAGTGTAGGAAAGTGCCTGATTCCACAGACCATTCCCAGCACTGAATATTCAACTCGGAATCGTTTAAAACCAGATGTTTAAAAAGTGGTATCTTGTTTTAATTTGCGTGTTCTTGATGATTAGTGAAGTTGTGCATCTCTTCAAATGCTTAACCATTTCTATTTCCTTTTCTCTGAATTGTCTTGTCATATATTTTGTGCATTTTCTGTGCGGTTGTTTATCATGTAGATTTGTTGAAGCTTTTTGTATATGATAGATATCAACACCGTGTCATTTTATATGTTACAAATACATCCTCCCATTAAGTTGCTTTTCATTTTGCTTTGTTTCTAGGAACTTACTTAGAAAGATATTCCCCACAGCAAGATGATAACACTGTCCTTCTATTTTCTTCTGTATATGGTTTGTTTGTTTGTTTGAAGAGATGGGGCCCCACTCTGCCCCAGGCTTTAGAGGTGTGATCCTAGCTCACCACAGCCTACAACTTCTGTGCTCAAGCGGGGAACCCTCCCACCTCAGCCTCCCGAGTAGCTGGGACTACTGGCATGTGCCACCATGCCCGGCTGATTTTTATTTATTTATTTATTTATTTTTTGTAGAGATTTTTTTGCCACTGTTTTGCCCAGGCTTGTCTCAAACTCCTGACCTCAAGCGATCCTCCTGCCTCTTGGCCTCCCGAAGTGTTGTATTATAGGTGTAAGCCACTACTCACCCCTGTGTATGTATTTTTATGTAAAATGTAATAAAATGTTTTTTCTCAACTGGACAGTCATTGATCAATGATCTCAAAGCTATCTGTTGATTAGTCCATCCTCCCCCCACTAATTTGATATTTTGTCTTTCTTGTATCTTGAATTGGAATTTACATATAGATATTTTACTAGAAGCTCATTTGTTTAACTGCCTTAATTTTCAAACCTTTCAGTGTCAAGCTTTTTCAGTATAATAGCTTAATCATTTCCACTTTATGATTCTTCATTTTTAAAATTTATGTTCTATTCTTTTTTTTTTTTTTTTTGAGACGAAGTCTTGCTCTGTCACCCAGGCTGGATTGCAGTGGTGTGATCTCGGATCACTGCAACTTCCACCTCCCAGGTTCAAGTAGTTCTCCTATCTCAGCCTCCCAAGTAGCTGTGATTACAGGCACATGCCACCACACCCAGCTAATTTTTTTGTATTTTTAGTAGAGACGGGGTTTCACCATGTTGGCCAGGCTGGTTTCAAACTCCTGACCTCAAGTGATCCACCTGTCTCAGCCTTCCAAAGTGCTGGGATTACAGGCGTAATCCACCATGCCCAGCTATGTTCTATTCTTAACACATTTTCTCTTCCTAGAAAATATCAGAATTATCTTATCAAATTCTTTCCACTAGGATTTTTTCTTTGCAGTGGGACTAATATTATATTTACAGATTCATATAAAATACTTACATTTTATATTAATATGTACAGAATTATTTCCTACCAATTTATTTAAGACTTAAAGTTTTAAAGTTTTGTCACTTAGCTCTAATGTTTTTCTTATTACATTTCAACCAAGGTTTTATAATTTATGTTGCAATTGTGAGTGGGAATCTATTTTTCCTGATATTTCCTTTTATAGTTATTGCTGAAAAAATAAGAAACTAAAATATAGAAACCATTATTTCTGTTATCTTGATTTTTTTTTTCACACTACTGGATTTCACCATAATCAATTCTTTTTGTCTTCCTGAAAGTCCTCTCTTTTCTAAGCTAGTTCTACCTCTCTTGGCTTTCTAGTGCTTTTATGGACATTAAACATTATATATATTTAATTATATAAAGATTATATGTATTTTAAAATAGACTTTATGTTTTATAGCAGTTTTAGATTTATAGCAAAATTGAACAGAAAATACAGAGAGTTCCCATATCCCCCTTCTGTCACACACCCACAACCTTCTCCACTATCGACATCTCCCACCAAAGTAGTACATTTGTTATAATCAATGAACCTACACTGACACATTATTATTACCCAAACTCCACAGTTTATATTAGGGCTTAACAAGTGTTGTACATCGTATGGGTATGGACAAATGTATAATGGCATGTAATTACCGTTATATAATAGTATCATACAGGTTAGTTCCACTGCCCTCTGTGCTCTGCCTATTCATCCCTCTCTCCTTGCAACCCCTGACAGCCACTGATCTTTTTACTGTCTTCATAGTTTTGCCTTTTCCAAAGGTCACGTTGTTGGAATCATACTGTATATGGCCTTTTCAGATTGGTTTCTTTCACTTACTAATATGCATTTAAGGTTCCTCCATATCTTTTCTTGGCATGATAGATTATTTCTTTTTATCACTGAATAATATTCCATTGTCTGGATCTACCAGAGTTTGCTTAGTCATTCACCCACTGAAGGATGTCTTGGTCGCTTCCAAGTGTGGGAAATTAGTAATCATGCCATTACAAACATCTTTGTGCAAGTTTTTTTGTGGACAAGTTTTTAACACATTTGGGTAAATAGTAAGGTGTGTGATTGCTGTATTATGTGGTAAGAGTATGTTTAGTTTTGTAAGAAACTGCCGAACTATCTTCCAAAGTGTCTGGACCATTTTGCATCCCCACCATCAATGAATGAAAATTCCTACTGTTCCACATCTTTGTCAGCATCAGGTGTTCTGGATTTTGGCCGTTCTAATAGATGTGTAGTTTTATCTTAGTGTCATTTTAATTTACAATTCTCTAATGACATACGATGTTGAGCATCTTTTCATGTGCTTATTTGCCATCTATATACTTTATTTGGTGAGATATTTATTCAGGTCTTTTGCCCATTTTTTAAATTGAGTTATTCCTTTCCTTATTGTTGAGTTTTAAGAGTTCTTTGCATATTTTAGATAACAATCCTTTGTCAGATGTGTGTTTTGCAAATATTTTCTCCCAGTCTGTGACTTGTCTTTACATTCTCTTGAGAGTCCTTTCATAGAGCAATTTTTAATTTTAATGAAGCTTTGCTTATCAATTTTATCTTTGTTACTGTATTTTAAAAACAATCACCATATCCAAGGATATCTAGATTTTCTCTTATGTTATCTTCTGGGAATTTTATAATTTTGCACTTAACATGAAGGTCTATGATCCATTTGAGTTAACTTTTGTGAAAGATGTAATCTCTGTGTCTAGATTCAGTTTTTTATTTTGTTTTGTTTTGTTTTGTTTGCGTGTGGATGGCCGGTTGTTTCAGCACATTTGAGGAAAAGACTGACTTTTCTCCACTGAGTTTTCTTTGCTTCTTTTTCAAAGGTCAATTGTTACGTGGTTCTATTCCTGGGCTCTCTATTCTGTTCCACTGATCTATTTGTCCATTCTTTTGCTAATATCATACCATCTTGATTACTGAAGCTTTATAGCAAGTCTTGAAGTCGAGTAGTGTCAGTCCACAACCCTGTTTTTCTGTTTCAATATTGATTTGGCTATTCTAGGTCTTTCATCTCTCCATATAAATTCAATAATCAGTTTGTCAATATCCACAAAATAACTTGCTGGAATTTTGATTGAGATTGCATTGAATCCCTATTGAGTCCCTATTATATAGTGCTTAATAAACCACCCCAAAATGAGATCAAGTTGGGAAGAACTGATATCTTGACAATATTGTCTTCCCACCCATGAACATAAAATATCTCTCCATTTTACTTAGTTCATCTTTGATTTCTATTATCACAGTTTCATAGATTTTCTTATGTGTATCAAGCACATATTTTGTTAGATTTATACCTAAGTATATAACTTTAGGGGTGCTAATGTAAATGGTATTGTGTTTGTAATTTATTTGTTTATTGTTCATTTTTATGAAAGACGTAGATTTTTGTAAATTAACCTTACATCCTTCAACCTTGCCATAATTACTTATAAGGGCCAGGAGGTTTTTGGAGATTCTTCTGAATTGTCTATGTAGATGATTGTGTCATCTATGAACAAAGACAGTTTTATTTCTTTCTTCCCAATCAGTGTACATTTTATTTCCTTTTTTTGTCCAACTGCACTAGCTAGGACTGCTAGTATGATGTTGAAAAAGAGTGGCAAGAGGGATCACCCTTGTCTTGTTGCTAATCTTAGCCAGAAAGCTTCTAATTTCTCACTATTAAGCATGGTATTAACTGTAGGGCTTTAAACAGATATATTATTTAGCAGGTTTAGGAAGCTCCCCTCTATTCTTAGTAGGCTGAGTGTTTTTATCATAAACAGGCAGTGGATTTTGTCAAATGTCTTTTCTGTGTATATTGATAAGATCATATGATTTTCTTTTTTAGCCAGTTGATGTGATGGACTACCTTAATTGATTTTTGAATGTTGAGCCAGCCTTATGCATGTGGGATAAACCCCTGTTGATCATGGTATGTATTTCATTTTATACAGTGTCAGCTTTAGTTTGCTGGATTTTTAAAATATGAAATCTCTTTTATAATTTCATCAGGATATTGGAATAAAAAAGATGTAGATGCATATATTCAGTCATTCCTTTTGAACCAGTTATATTTCTAAAAGCTTAACAAAAGTCTGGAGAAATCTCTTTTATGTTCTGAGGAGTTAAAAATTATATTACAAGGAAGCAACAAGAGAAAAGACTTATCCCCAATTGTTCCTGGTGCCTATTATTGCTTAGTAAACCACCCCAAAACTTGGTGATTTAAACAACAATGGTCATTTATGTTGCCTGTTAATTGCAATCTGGGCAGGGCTCTGCAGGGAAGGCTCATCTCTGCCTCACAGGGACATTCAGTGGCTGGAAGGTCCACCTCCAGGCTAGCTAACACACAGTTGGCAAGTCGGTACTCACTGCCTCTGTGTGGGAGCTCAGCCACAGCTCAGAGCTAGGCATTCTCACAGCACAATGGCTGGTTCCCAAGGCCAAGTATCCTGAGAGAGAGCTAGGTAGATGTTGTATTGCCTTCAGCTGTACTTTGTTAGTCAAGGCAGTTGCAAAGTCATGTGCAGGCTGAAGGGGAGGGAACAGAGACTCCATGTGAGGACACAAGAAGAAGGCAGCCATCTGCAAGCCAGAAAGTAAGGCCTCACCAGAAACCAAATTTTCCAACACCTTAATCTTGGACCTCTTGCCTTCAGAACTGTGAGAAAATAAATCCTGTTGTTCAAGCCATGCAGCCTGTGGTACATAGTCATAGCAGCCAGAACACATTAAGACAAACCCCGTTAGGCCTTGAATGCTAATGTCAGGCAAAGACCTAGCATATTAAGGCCGTTTTTAGACAGAGAGCTTTTTTGACTACCACAGTGGTAAATGGAGCATGCCAGTCATGTAAAGAGGCCCATAGGGTAGAAATCCCTGCCATTCTAGTATTCTTACGACAAGCTGACTATATGCAGGCAGAACAAAGGGACAGATGCCCCACTAGTGATTAAGGAAACAATGTGCCTTGGGGAGACGGGAAGGCTCTAGAATGGTATGAGCACCTTCAGATGGATAGGCTTGGATTCTAGAAATCCTTATGTGGATGGGTAGAGCCCAAATGGCCAGCACCTCCACTCATGCATGAGACCAGTGCATAAGAGATACACATCATAGAGTTTTCATCTGCTACTGGGGTCTGGCTCTTACACCTGTATGAACATGTGTAGAGCCTAGGTAGGACCATCCTATGAATGAATGTTCAGGAGTCACCCATCCCCATGAATGGAAACTAGGACTGATGGAACTAGGTATTTCCTGAACACTCAAAGTGGATCAACCTAATAGTGAACAAAACCACATCTGACAAGGAGAAGGCATAGGGACTACCTAGTGTTAGGAAACAGTCCCCGATTTCTGACTCATCCTGCTATAAGCCAACTTCTTTCCCACAAGACAGTACAGGACACAGCCTACAGGAGGAAATAGAAGTCCTGATCTTTCTCTTTCAGTATCCTGTGCTGTCAGAGGTCACTTTAGCTAGGCTTAAAAACCAGAAGGAAAAGAATTTCAGGATGGCAAAGGGATGGGCATGGTAGTGGTAAGACGATGAGGTGTGAGGGGCAGAGGAATAAGAAATTTAATGGTTTTTATTCAGACTTTATTATTTGGGCATGAGCCATTGGTGATTAACTCAATCTCCAGCCCCTTTGCCCTCCCTGAAGGTTGGGGAGGCAGGAAGTCCATCCCTCTGATCATGCCTTGGTCTCCATTCCCCAAACCCCATCCTGAAGCTATCTAGGGCCCCCAATACCGAGTCATTTCATTAGAGAAGGACATTCATCACTCCAGAAATTCCAAGGGTCTTAGAAGCTCTTGTGTTAGAAACTGGGGACTAAGACCAAATATTATAACAAAAAGATGTTCCCAGCATTCCTATCATCCAGGCAGTTACAAAGGTTTTTGGAACTCTGTGTCAGGAATCAGGAGCAGAGACCAGGTATCTATTTCTTGTCATGTCCCACAAGAGGATGCAGAAAATCTGGGATTGTAACTGTTGATGGTTATGTAATCTCAGGAAACTTCTTTGTCCTCCATTGCTTCACAATTAAATGGGGCAGATATGCCTCCCCTCTCTCACTCTATTTCCTGAGCACACATTCCAGAATCTCAGCAAACTCTAGAGACAAAGACACAGCCCTGGCCCCCAGGGAGCAAGGTCTTAGGGTGCTGGAGAAAATTATCGTTTTTGTTCCCTTCCAATAGTGAAATCTATGATCATTAAAAAAATACAGTATACCTCCTAATTAAGCCAAGTTTCCCTTCTCATTTTAGTTATCAGGAATTTAAATCAATCAAGGCATAAATTGGACCAAACATTATTACCACTGTTCATTGATATCCTTAACTAAGAACGTTACTGAAACTTTCCCTTAATACTTATTATATATCTTCCAAGTCAATCCTGAGAAAATCCATAAAGCTCATCTCAGGGCGAAAGCTTGTACATTTAAGTAACAGGATTCCAAATAAACAATATTGCTGAGTTAACTAAAAATACATTAACTAAAAATAAATCTCATCTAAAATATTAAAAATGGATATTTTTAAAATGCTTTTTATTTTTTAAGTGTTCCTGGTTAAATGTGGCATCTAAGAATGGTTTTTGCAACTTATAAAAAGCTGCTGCCTATCTTTTTAAAAATCCCTGCCAAAAAAATCACATAAATGGTGAATTTATAAAATGTCATACAATTGAATTCATATAATGGCAATGAGAATAAGTAAAAGGAAAAAATTATAAAGCATTTACTCACAATAGTATACATTCCGTTCAACTATGCTGGGAATTCCATTTATGTATTCAAAGTTTCTATTAACTTCTTTGGAATCCAGCATAAACCTTTGATAGTATTTATAAAAAATTTTAAAATGTGAAATGGCAAAATGGAAAGAGAGCATTCAAAGAGAAAGGAAATTCTTGGTCAGTTAAAACATTTCACACCTCCCTAACTGCCTTTCTCTGCTTCTTGATTCAAAGTTCTAAGGCAAGTAAACACTAGAAATTAGTGTTTCCTTTAAAAAGCCTTCTTGGGTTATGCCAAATCAAAAAAAAAAAAAAAAAAAAAAAGACATCTTAATTCACACTGTTGAAAAAACAGAGCATCTCCAAAGTTACCAGCTGTACATTTTACTTCTTTGAACGCACCCAGAACACATTGCAAAGATATTCAGCAAATGCCTACTGAATTGAATCTTGATGAGAAACAGATAATTCTGTTCTTCTATTAGTTTTATTTTATGGGGGTAGCTTAAAAATTAATCAATTTAGATGATGACATTCAAGGTCAGGAATGTTATTCCTTCTTCCTCACTCTATATTCCTGGAAGCCTTTTACAGCTTATTGTATTCAGTATTCCTCCTTGCATAAAATATAGACTAGTCACCAGAATTCCTATAAAAATGAAAAGCAAAAACAAGTGCCCCTATTAAAAGTTTTAAGAAGTCATTTTGTCAAGAGAAAAGCCTTCTTTAATGTTCTCTTCAAGTCTAATCAAGGGCTTTGAGAAAAATGCTGAGCAGTTTCCTTTTTTCTAAAGTTCAAGGAAGACAAAAGAGACAAATTTACATTTTGATTGAACGTTTTATTTATTCAGCCTTCACTCAGCAAATATTTATTAGTGTCCACTGTATACCAGGCACTGTGATAACTACTTGTTACTGCTGGGTGAGCTGCTAGAGTGAGCTACTAAAGAAGTGTATAATATGAACCACTACAGATTGTCGATGAGATGTGTGAGCACTCTGTCTCTTGGAGGGGCAATGGGAAAATAGGAGATGGAACTAGGTAAAACTCAAAGTGGCCCTTACCTCTCTCACTCTAACTCCATGCTCATCACAAATTTCAAGATCAAAAACTTTGGGAGGCCGAGGTGGGTGGATCATTTAAGATCAGGAGTTCGAGACCAGCCTGGTCAACATGGTGAAACCCCAACCTAAGCCCCATCAGGTGAACACCTAACATTAACCACCGCATTGGTTCCAAGAGTGAGGATGGGGGAGGGGTGTTGAGAGTTTAAGGAAGGGGAGTGAGAGTCATCTAGGAGAGTAGAAGAGAGAACAGACTGGGGAAATGGGCTGGCAACACTCAAGTATAACTTGGTTAATCATCTTGTACTTAAAGTAATAGTTACAAGCTTTTCTTGGGCTATGTACAACTGCATGGTGAAGGCAGAGAGTTGGATTTAACCAAGACTGTGACTTTGGTGAGGATGTATGACCAAAAGAGAGAGGAGGGGGGTATATGGAAGAGATTGCTTGTATGGATGAAGCATGGAATAACCGTGGCAAGGAGAGAAATAACGAGATGAGGGGTGAGGGACAGTGAGGTGGAGGATGGATCAATGTGTTGTGGGTCCTGCAATGGTAGAAAGACCATCAAGGTGCTTGAGGGAGTGAGGAGGAAAATAGGAAATAGTGGCTGGAGAGTGGTTACTTGAAACTGAGTTTATGGCAAGGATGTAGAGGGGTGTGTGTGTGTGTGTGTGTGTGTGTGTGTGTGTGTGTTCCGTAATGGGAATGTCTAAGGTATAATCATGGAAGTCAAGCTTTTTGGAGGTGGGGAGAGAACTGAGGGGGCCAGGACACTGGATGGATCACCAGATGCTGAAATCACTAAGTCTTGTTGGAGTGACAAGGAACTAGAAGTGCCAAGCAGTGACTAGGGTCAGTCAAGGATAGCAACCACAAGAGCAAGTGGGTGGTACGACCTGCTGGCATGGGACACAGAGCCAGGAGGGCCTTGGGAGTGGGGAAGAAGAGGGAAACAGGCACCACTGGAGAGAACTGCGGGGGGCAGGAGTGCCCCAGGTCAGAGCCAGGTTTCAGCAAGACCAGGCAGGTGATGGGGATGTTCAGGAAAAAGTGGAGGATGTGAGGGATTCTACCGAGGACTGACTGTGTCTTCCAGACCAGAGTGTCTCAAACTTTAATGTGCAGCCATGTCGCCTGGGGAGTCCTGTTAAAATGCACATTCTGATTCCGCAGGTCTTGGGTGGAGCCCAGGTCTCTGCATTTCTTTTTTTTAATTATTACCATTTTACTTTAAGTTCTGAGATACAGTGTCTCTGCATTTCTAACAAGGTCCCAGGTGATGCTGCTGCTGGTCTTTGGACTACACTCAGAGCACCGAGGTCCCATGTGGGAACTACCAGCACATACAGCTACTGAGCACTGAAAATGTGGCTCATTTGAATTGGGATGTGCCAGAAGTATAAAATGCACACTGCATTTTCAGGCCAATAAAAGAATATAAAATGTCTTATTAATAATTTCTTGGGTGAGTGCAGTGTCTCAGGCCTGTAATCCCAGCACTTTGGGAGGCCAAGGTGGGAGGATCACTTGAGCTCTGGAGTTTGAGACCAACCTGAGCAACACAGCAATACCCCATCTCTACTAAAAATCAAAAAAACTAGCTGGCCATGGTGATGCATACCTGTGGCCCCACTACTCAGGAGGCTGAGGCAGGAGGATCACTTGAACTCAGGAAAGTGAGACTGCAGTGAGGTATGATCGTGACACTGCACTGAGCCACTGCACTCAACTTAGTTTAGGCTGCTATAACAGATTGCCATAGACTGGGTGGCTTAAACAACACATGTTTTTTCTCACAGCTTTGGAGGCTGTAAGTCCAGTTTCAAGGAGTCAGCATCATGGGATCTGATAAGAAGCCTCTTCCAAGTTGTAGACTGCTGATTTCCAGTTGTATCCTCACATGGTGGAATGACAGCCAGATAATTCTCTAGGGTCCCTTTCACAAAGGCATTAATCCCATTCATGAGGCTTCTACTCTCATGACCTAATCTCCCAAAGGCCCCACCTCCATGGACCATCACATTGGGGGTTAGGATTTGATCTTATGAATTTGGGGGTGATATAAACATTCAGTCCACCCATAGAAATTATTGTTATTGAGACAGCATCTCGCTCTGTTGCACAGGCTGGCTGGAGTGCAGTGGTGCAATCATGGCTCACTGCAACCTCAAATTCCTGGGCTCAAGGGATCCTCCTGCCTCAGCCTCCCAAGTAGCTAGGACTACAGGTATGTGCCACCACTCCCAACTAATTTTTTTATTTTTTGTAGAGACGAGATCTAACTTTGTTGCCCAGGCTGGTATTGAACTCTTGGGTTCAAGTAATCCTCCTGCCTCAGTCTCCTAAAGTGCTAGGGTTATAGATGTGAGCCACTGTACCCAGCCAGGTTGTATATTGAAATAATAATTTCTTAATATATTGAATTAAAATATATTTAAGGCAATTTTATCTGTTTCTTTTTACTTTTTAAATGTGGTTACTGGATAATTTGAAATTATATATATGACTGTCATATATAAGACAAAGGAAATGTAAGAGATTTCCTTTGGACAACACTATTCTCAAGGGTACTTGGGAAAGGTTTCCAGAGCTTAAAAGACGGAGAAATAAAGTCAGATAGAAGGATGTATGGGGAAGCATGCAGGTCAGAGTCCAGGAGAGGCCTGGGCCCTGGGCCACGTCACAGTGACATGCAAAGGGCATGGTGAGATCAGTCCACCTGCTCTGAAGCTTATAGCAAGGACAAGCCTGAGAGATGAGGGGCAGGGGCAAAAGGCAGTAACTGCGAATATATTGGGACTGAAATATTTACACATTTAATACCAAAGAAAGTAGAATTGAAAACACCCACCATTTACAGAATTTGCTTGGTGCTGTCCAGGTACCTTAGGACCCATGAAGGGAGAACTTTCTCAATTTGAAATAACATGATCTACAGAGAAGGTCAATTAAAGGAGTCAAAAAGCTCTCAAAGGTAGTAACCACAAAATGCCACTTTGAATAATATTGCTGGCAATTTTGTGAAAGAAAATTAATGATAATGATACCTGTAAACCAAAAAGTATGAGACAGGTCTAAACTGATTTAGAGGTTTATTTTGCCAAAGTTGAGGGGGCCAGTAACACAGCCTCAGGAGGTCCTGAGAACATGTGCCCAAGGTGACTGGGTTATAGCTTGATTTTATACATTTTAGGGAGACAGTAGTGACAGGCAGTGACATAGATCAATACATTTAAGATATACATTGATTCAGCCAAAAAAGGCAGGACATCTTGAAGCAGGTGGGAAGGGGCGTCCAGGTCACAGGTGTATTCAAAGCTTTCCTGGTTAGCAGTTGATTGAAAGAGTTAAGCTATACCTGAAGAGTTGACATCAGCTTGAATTAAGGTAAGTGTTGGGGTGGCAGTGGGGGTGGAGGAGTTGTGGAAGTTAAGGTTCAGGTAGAAGGCTTCGGAGAGAACAGATGGTAAATGTCTCTTAACATACCTTAAAACGTGTCAGACTCAGTCACATTGCTCCTGGCTCAGGAAAAGACCTGGAAAGAAAGGGGGATTCTCTACAGAATGTAAATTTCCCCTACAAGAGACAGCTTTTCAAGGCCATTTCAGAATATGTCAAAGAAACATATTCTGGGCGTAAATTAGTTTGATTTCCTTTAGGGCCTGTTATGTGTCATGTGATACTGTAGCTGAGTCAGGTTGACATTGGTGTCTGATTGCTACAAAGAGTCTGTTCGGTGAGTCTTAGGATCTCTGTTTTAATGTGAGTGCTGGTCAGTTGTGTCTAAACTGCAAAAGGGAGTGGGTATAATAAGGCATGTCTGACCCCACTTCTCACCATGGCAGGAACTGGTTTTTCAGGTTTCTTTGGCATCCTCTTGGCTGGGGGGGTCCATTCAGTCAGTTGGGGGGCTTAGAATTTTCATCTTGGTTTACTCACCAAATAAAAAGTCTTTAGAGAAATGCCATTGACCAGTATTAGACACAGGTACAACTAAGAAACCCATCAAAATATGTGAAAATGTACCAAGGTTAATTTCCTTATAATATTTTTCATGTCCAGATAATTAGCACAAATAAAAACTTTCAAAAATTGCCAACAAGCAGACAAACAACTCTTATTCTTTGTTTGTTTGTTTTTAAATAAATTTTAAGCTCTTGGTTGCAAGTCCTCTGCTCTGTGCTGACTTCAGCACCTTCCTGTGGTAACAACCCCTAATAACTGGATGTTTTGGATCTCATAGTTCCTGCTGGAATCTTGCTGTTGCCCATTCAAGTCTGGTGGTTCCTGTGTGTTGGGGTGGCCTTGCTTCTCCTGCTCTTAGCTCTGGAGGAGCCCTCGGCTGGTGCTGCAGTGAATCTGTCAGAGTCGTCCTAACCAGAGTGCCCCCATCCTGAATAGAGGCTGGATAAAGCCAAACCTGCTGGGTTATAGTCCCAGGGGATTGGGCAGTCCTGGTCACAAGATATTTAAGGTTGAGGGAATAAGTTAATGATGCTAAGTAAATAAAGACCCTGAATTCTTTCCCGTGAGAGATTCAAGAACTCACTCTTGGCATCTGGGATAAGACCCTTTTTCCGGTAACAAACCCCTGCCCTGGCCCTTTCTTCCTTCTGGAAAACTTAAAAAAAAAATAGGCCTCAAAAAGACTGCATTAATCTGAGAAACTGCTGAATATGGCTACTAAGAGAAGCTGGGATTTTCTGATTTTTAATGTCGGTTTCAAAGAGAGCAGGTATACTTTGCAGGAGGGAACCATGC
The DNA here is from genome assembly GCF_000001405.40 of Homo sapiens. Lineage (NCBI taxonomy): Eukaryota > Metazoa > Chordata > Mammalia > Primates > Hominidae > Homo > Homo sapiens. The sequence continues at coordinate 2,272,334 of NC_000006.12, forward strand.
TAGCTGCAGAATCATGGACGAGCTGGACCACAAGTTTTTACACAGTGTGCATGCTTTTGTTCTCCTGTCAACTTCTGTTGTTTTCCTGTCAACTTCTGTTGTTTTCATCAAAAGCCATCAACCCGCCTCAGCCAGGGCATCATAATGTACATGCAACAGAGTGTTCCAAGAAACTTTCAGCTGAGACCCTAAGACCCTGGACATGCAATGCCAGAGTGAAGTGTGAGGACCACAGCTGTGCAGGACATGCAGAAAGGAGGGGCAGAGAGCCAATGAGATGATGTCCCACGACTCACCTGTGTCAGTGGAGACCGAAGGAGACTTGGAGGGTGCTTTTGGAGAGAACTGCTGATGTTTTGTGAGCCTCACTCTCTCTGTGTGTGGAAATGCTGGAGGATGAAACCGTCTAAACTCTCCTGAAGTCCCGGGAATGGAGTTTTAATGGTAATGTGTGATGGGATGTGTGTTCTCTTATGGTATGGGAGACACAGAGGACTCACAGAGGACTGGCCTCTGCCTCTTGACCAGGGATCAGGAGAGATGGGAACTGAGCTGGTCAGCTGCTCTTCAGAGCTGGTCGAGGAGAGATTTCTGCTGTGCTGGGAGGGCCTAAAAACATGCATGGATGGAGCCCAAGGACCAGGTGCAGATCTTATGCAAGAATGAACCAGGGGGTGACTTAGGTCCACCAAAAGACTGCCCAGAGGGACAAAAGGCTATCAGTGAAAAGAATCCACAGATGAACTGCCAGTTCCTCAGGGCTGAGGCAAGATCTTAATTTTGAGTAGGAGCAGAGTGTATTACCTACAACAAGGATACCACAGATGAGAAAACCCTAGTTTTAAACCTGCTACATCCAAAGAGAGCAATGCAACTCTGGCAGTAGCAAAAATGTTGTGCCTCTCCTTTCCTCACTCCTAATTTCCCATCCCAGAGAAGGGTCAGAAACCATCTTCTGCAAGATGGGAGGAAGGGTAGCAGCCAGACTGCAAAAAGGGAGAAGAAACCAGCTACCTCTTGCTGTTCTCAGTGGCAGACTCCCCACCTGCAACAGGTCAGGTCTGTTACTGGAGAGAAAAGACAGGTAAGCAACACATGACAACTGCAAAAGATGTTTATAGTGGTAACTTTTACTTGGGACAGGAAAATTATAAGAGCTGTGTGAAAATATGTTATTGTGTACTGACAAAATTTAAGGAAGCACAGCAAAACTTCAACCTGGGAAAATGGGGCACAACAAAGTTCACTGGAGACACTTACTGGGGTTATGATTTTAATCTTTGAACGGAATTCAAAACAATGAAGTTACAAGTATAATGGTGATATGCTTGAGGAAAAAATTATTATTTCTGAATACTTGATGTAAAAAAGTTCAGTTTTAGCCAGGTGCAGTGATTCACACCTGTAGTCCCAGCTACTCAGGAGGCTGAGGCTGGAGGATTGCTTGAGCCTAGGAGTTCAAGGCTGTAGTATGTTATGATCATGCCTGTGAATAACCACTGCACTCCAGCCTGGGCAACATAGCAGGATCCTGTCTCTAAAAACAAAGAAAAAGTTTAATTGAACTGGAAATCCATTTGCATTATGATTTAACATTTGCATTCCACAATAGGAATAGCTAGCTGTTAGACTTAAAGAAGTATAAATTAAAGGAGCAAATGATCTGAATTCCAGTTGAGGACAGGAAAGCGGTTTCCTTCAGTTGCAGAAAATGCATGCTGTTCATGGTGACAAAGTATTGAAAGCAGCCTGCGTGTGGGTAGGTGAACCATGTGTCTGCACTCCATGGAGTGCCATGCAACAATGGGAAGTAGAGGATGAAAAATACACAGAACACTTTGGATTGTGCTGAAAACAAAGCAAAGGAATAAAATGAGGTATAGAACACAATGCTATCTACACAAATTAAAAGTACATCATACAAAGCAACAAAGCACATTTTATAAGAGCACAGACAAATAAAAAATACACATGAAACAGAATAGAGTGGTTGCCCTTTGGGAGGGGCAGGGCAGTGATAATGAGAGTGGGATAAGGGAACAATCAGCCTAGCAGGGACCACTGATACAACTGAAGGGTATAAAAACCCACTGGGGTTCAGAAGAAAAAGAATTATTCTAAAAAGAAGTTCATTTTCTCATTGAAATTTTGATCACATTTTATTTGGAAATTTTAAACTCAGCATTTAATACTTTCCTGTATACTTAGCATTTTAGTTTTCTTTTAATCATGTAATATAAAGAAATGATTTTTTTTTCACTAAGTTCAACACAGATGCCCTCACCATTGCCTTTAGTTTACCCAACATATGGAAAACTGTACTATTTTCCATTACTGCCCTGAAAAGGAAAGGCTGGGGAGCCCTGGCCTACTTTGGTTGTTACACAGAAACTTGACTGACACATCTACTCGTGTCTACCCTTCCATGCGACAGGCCCCGACTTTATGTTTGAAATACAAGTAGTATGTGGCTATCTTCAGCATCTGTGTTTTAAAAGGTTTGATGGTTATTTTTGCTGAGAACCTCCTCCCCCTACCCTCCTAGTCATTGCCCATGTGATTAAGAGGCATGATGGCCTCTCACTGGGACAGTCTGAAGCAACAGGATTCACATGAACCTTATGTGACTACCTTTCCTGCCTGGCAGCTGCTGACCTAGCCTTCCTGCAGCTAAGGGGAAGGGCCCCGCTCTCTGAGAACCTGTAGCTGCTGCAAAGACCCACACCCCTCCTCTGTGGTGCGCACACACACACATGCCGTACTCTGCCAGGAGTGGCACAAAACAAATTATCCTCTTTGACTAGGAATTTTCTCTTTCCTTTCACACTGGGTCTCTGGAGGGAGAGGAGGCGGCAGTAAATTTGCTTGTGTATTTATCACAGGCTGTGGGGCTGAGTCTGTGTGAGGAACCATTCATCTAGCAGTGGTGACTGCACATTAGAATCACCTTGGGAGCTTTCAAAACATACCCGTGCCTGCACTGAACCCCAGACAAATGGAATCAAAATGGCTGGGGGTGGAGTGTGGGCACCAGTAAGTTTTAAAAGCTCCCCAGATGCTTCTAATATGCAGCCAAGGTTGAGATCCACTGCTCTAAGCTGTACACTTGAAACTGGAGAGTTAGTTAATTCAGCTTCTTATTGAATTAACAAGACAAGAACTAACTTTAAAAAATCGAAGTTTCAATCTTTTTGTAGCATAAGATCACACTGTAGAGTTCCAGTCAGAAATTTTCAGTGGATTCCCCTTACATCCCCCTCTCTTTTTGATCCCTGAATCTTATAGGGTTCCTTGAGGAATTGTTATACAGTGACCTCACCACATTCTTATGAGATAGAAACAGTAAATATAACCAATCCAAGTTAACGCCAGGGCAGTGTCAGGGAGTTAAAGACTCATTCATTTCCTTCTTAAAATGTAACCATTAGTTTATTCCATGCTTATCTATTGGCTGCTAATTATGTGCAAGGAAGTGTCATCACGTGCTGCAGCAGATAAAAAGATACTTAGGATACCACTTGAGTTTTCAAGATGCTTACAGTCCAGTTTTCTACAACTAACTAAACCCAAGGAAGTGTGTAATGCCTTGAAAGAAGTTCAAAGTTTTATACTTCAGGAGTGGTAGGGATGAACCTAAAAACAGGCTGGGGCCAGCTTGGACTTCACAGGCAGTGGGAGCTTATGAAATGGTGCAGGGTGGAGTGGTGACGTGACAAAGTGGTGCTTTAGGAGATTATTGTAGCATCTGGATGAAAGGTTAATTAAAGGTAAAGAGTGATTCTAGTTGAGGCAGGAAAACCAGTTTGAAGACTACCTCATAGTCTAGGTTGGTGTGAATTAATAAGGGCCTGACAAAACTTCTCTGTGTTGGAAAAAATTGGAACCGAAGTTGTTTTGGGGAGGAAAGGTGGCCATTGATGGGGAAAGCATGAGAAAACTTTTTGGGGTAATGGTAATATTCTATATCTTGTTAGGAATTTGGGTTCAAAGGGTATATTCATTTGTAAAATGAATCAGTAAATGTACACGTAAGATTTGTGCACTACATTATATGTAAGTTTTGTCACAGAAACAAAAACTGTAAACATGGAACTCTAGTTAATGATTGCATTTAGAGGGAAGTGCACTGTTGTCTGTAATCTAAAGTGTATCAGAAACTAAGACGGATCAATGGATGAAGAGTTATGTGATAAAGCAAGTGTAGTTAACATGTTCATGGTAGAACCTAGGTGGTGAGTATATGCACATTCGCTATACAATTCTTTCAACTTTGTTATATATTTAAAATTTTTTGTACTAAACTGTAGGAGAGAAAAGGATTTGAAGCAGAGAATGAATCCAGTGGTATTTTAAAATTTGAATTGATAAAGCTTGGCATAACTGAATGTAGGGAATGAGGACCCAGAGAAGTGGGAGTTACCATGAACTTCAGTGATTAGAATAACAGGAAAATAAAGGTATTATTCTTATTAATAGAAACCATTCACTGAGCCCCCAGTTATGTACCAGGTATTGTGGTAGGTGAATTACATAGTTTATTTTTCATCTTCACGACAATTCCATATGGAAAATAATATTATATCCATTTTACAGGTGAGAAACAAAAGCCCAGACTGGGACTGGAACAGACTTCACACTCTCCCCTAGGTGGTTCTGATTCCATTTGTCCAGGGTTCAGTGCAGGCATTGTTTTTTTTTTTTTTTTTTTTTTGGCATTGGTATGTTTTGAAAGCTCCCCAGGTGATTCTAATGCATAGTCACCACTGCTAGATGAATGGTTCCTTACACAGACTCAGCCTCATAGCCTATAATAGCCAGGCTGGTTAAATAGTAAAAGAAATAGGGAAGTCAGAAAAGGTTTGAGGGGGAATTGATGTCTGATTTTGAGATGAAAGAAGCATATTAAAATAATTTTAAAATCTCATATATTTCAGGTGTGAAACAGGATATTTTGTTTTGTTTTTTATTTTTTTATTTATTTATTTATTTTTAGACGGAGTCTCGCACTGTTGCCCAGGCTGGAGTGCAGTGGTGCGATCTTGGCTCATTGCAAGCTCTGCCTCCCAGGTTCAAGCCATTCTCCTGTCTCAGCCTCCCGAGTAGCTGAGACTACAGGCACCTGCCACCATGCCCAGCTAATTTTCTGTATTTTTAGTAGAGACGGGGTTTCAACGTGTTAGCCAGGATGGTCTCGATCTCCTGACCTCGTGATCTGCCCACCTTGGCCTCCCAAAGTGCTGGGATTTTTTTTTTTTTTTTTTTTTTTTGAGACAGAGTCTTGTTCTGTTGCCCAGGCTAGAGTGTAGTGGTGCGTTCTCGGCTCATTGCAAGTTTCGCCTCCCGGGTTCAAGCCATTCTCCTGCTTCAGCCTCCTGAGTAGCTGATACTACAGGTGCCTGCCACCACGTCCGGCTAATTTTTGTATTTTTAGTAGAGATGGGGTTTCACCATGTTGGCCAGGCTGGTCTCGAACTCCTGACCTCAGGCAATCTGCTTGCCTCAGCCTCCCAAAGTGCTGGAATTACAGGCATGAGCCACCACGCCCGGCCTGACATGATATTTTGAAACACATATACATAGTGAAATGATTACTAAAGTCGTGCAAATTAATACATTCATCTCTTCACATAGTCACCCCATTTTTTTTGTTTTAGAGTGAGAGCACTTGAAGTCTCTCAGCAAATTTCCGGTATACAACACAGTATTATTAACTATGGTCACCATGCTGTACGTTAGATCTCTAAACTCCTTCATCCTACAGAACTGCAACTTTGTACCCTTTGACCAACGTCTTCATGTTTCTCCAACTCTCTGCCCCTGGGAAGCACTGTTCTACTCTCTGTTTCTATGTATGACTTTTTTAGATTCCACATGTAAGTGGGATCATGAACTGGTTTTCTTTCCACGCATGGCTGATTTCACTTAGCATAATGTCCACCAGCTTCATCCATGTTGTTGTAAATGACAGGATCTCCTTTTTCTTTTTTTTTTTTTTTTTTTTTTTTTTTTTTTTTGAGATGGTGTCTTGCTCTTTCACCCAGGCTGGAGTGCAGTGGCGCAATCTCGTCTCACTGCAAGCTCCACCTCCCGGGTTCATGCCATTCTCCTGCCTCAGCCTCCCGAGTAGCTGGGACTACAGGCGCCCGCCACTGCGCCTGGCTAATTTTTTGTATTTTTAGTAGAGATGGGGTTTCACTGTGTTAGCCAGTATGGTCTCGATTTCCTGACCTTGTGATCCGCCCACCTCAGCCTCCCAAAGTGCTGGGATTACAGGCATGATCTCCTTCTTTTTTAAGGCTGCCTAATATTCCATTGGGTGTGTGTATATAAGTGTGTATATGTACACATACATCACATTCTTTCTATCCATTCATCCATCAACAGATGCAGGTTGTTTCTATATCTTAGCTGTTATGAATTATGCTGCAGTGAACATGGGAGTTCAGATGATCTTTTCGAGGTGCTGATTTCATTGTGTTTGGATATATACCCAGAAGTGGGAGAGCTAGATAATGTGGCAATTCTATTTTTAATTTTTTGAGGAACCTCTGTGCTGTTTTTTATGAATGGGGCTGTACCAATTTACATTCCCACAAATAGTGTACATGCTTCCCTTTTCTCCATACCCTCACCAATACTTATCGCTTGTCTTTTTGATAATAGCCATCCTAACAGGTGTAAGGTGATATCTCATAGTAGTTTTAATTTGTATTTCCTTGATGATTAGTGATGTTGAATACCTTTTCATATATCTGTTGGCCATTGGTATGTCTTCCTCAGAAAAATGTCTGTTGCAAGTCCTTTGCCCATTTTTAAATCGGGTTGTTTGTTTTTTTGTTATTGAGTTGTGTGAGTTTCTTATATGTTGTGGATATTAACCCTTTACCAGATATATGGTTTGCAAATATTTTCTCCCAATTCATAGAGTGCCTTTTCATTTTGTTGATTGCTCTCTTTGCTGTGCAGAAGCTTTTTAGTTTGATATTGTCCCACTTGTTTATTTTTGCTTCTGTTGCCTGAATTTTTTATGTGTGTTAAGAAATAATTGCCAAAGCCAAGATCAAAAAGTTTTTCTCCCGACTTATTTCTAGAAGTTCTTTAGTTTCAGGTCACATTTAAACCTTTAATCCATTTTGAGCTGATTTTTGTATATGGTGTTAAAAAAGGGGGGCCAATTTCATTCCTTTGTATGTGGATATCCAGTTTTCCCAGCACCATTTGTGGAATAGACTATCTTTTTCCTATTGTGTCTTACTGGTGTCCTTGTTGAAGGTCAGTTGATAAATGTGTGGGTTTATTTCTGGGCTCCCTATTCTGATCCATTGGTCTATGCATGTGGTTGTATACTAATATCATACTGTTAAGATACTATAACTTTGTAATATAATTTGAAATCAGGAAATGTAATTCCTCCAACTTTATTTTCCTTTCTCAAGACTGCTTTTGCTACTCATGGTCTTTTGTGGTTTCATACAAATTCTAGAATGGGTTTTTCTATTTTTGTGAAAAATGTCTGAAATTTTCATAGAAATTGCATTCAATCTGTAGATTACTTTTTGTAGTATGGACATTTTAATAATATTAATGTTTTCCAATCCATGAACATAGAGTATCTTTCCATTTATTTGTGTCTTCTTCAATTTTTTAAATCAATGTTTTATACTTTTCAGTTTTCAAATCTTTCACTTCTCTGGTTAAATTAATTCCTAAGTATTTTATTCTTTTTGATGCTATCATAAATAGGGTTACTTTCTTGATTTTCTTTCAGATGGTTTGTTATTGGTGTATATAAATGCAACTGATTTTTGTATCCTGATTTTGTATTCTACAACTTTAATGAATTTGTTTATTAGTCAAATCGTGTTTTTTTTTTCTGGAGCCTTTAGTATTTTCTACATATAGAATCATGCCATCTGTAAATAGGGATAATTTTACCTCTTCTTTCCAAGTGGACACTTTTTATTTCTTTTTCTTGTCTGATTGCTCTTGCCAGTACTTCTACTACTAGATTGAATAGAAGTAGTGATGATGGGCATTGTTGCTTTGTACTGGATCTTAGAGGAAAAATTTTCAGTTTTTCTCCATGGATTATGATGTTAGCTGTAAGCTTTTCGTAAATGACCTGATATGTTGAGGGAATTTCTATCTATTCCTATTTTGTTGAGTGTTTATCATAAATGGATGTTGAACTTTGTCAAATGCTTTTCTGCATCTATTAAGATGATCACATGGTTTTTAACTTTCATTCTGTTTTGTAGCATATGACATTGATTGATTTGTATATGTTGAACTCATCTTGCATCTCAGGGACAAATCTCACTTGGTCATGGTGTATAATATTTTTGACGTGTTATTGAAGTCAGTTTGCTAGTATTTTACTGAGGAATTTTGTGAGATGGTAATGTTTAGTAGGAAATTTGAAATATGTGGGTCTTACTACACAGGATAAGGCTAGAGATCTATAGATTTGATGATTGCCTACACTCCAGAAGGCAGCAAAACAGAGACATCTGAAAAGATATAATGATTGAAATAAGGTAAGCAAAATGAGACTCTGAAGAGAAGCAATAGACGGAAGAGGGATAAAAATAGAGAATATGGGAGAATGGCCACAGCTGGAATGGGAAGAAAAAGAGAAGCTAGAAAAGTTTACATCGTGCCAAACTCTATCCCTATTCTGGAGTGGAAATAAACTGGGTAGGACTAGGAACTACAGTGGCAATTTCATGCTTAGCCACTGTGAGTTCAAGCAATTCTTTCTACTCCCTCCTGATTTACTCTTGATCCTTGTGACTAGTGTTCTACTCATATTAAAGAGCAGTATACCTTTTTAGCCAGTCATCTAGTGCAACTTTCCTTTATTCTTTTGCTTGTTTTCTTTTCTCTAAGCAGTTTGGGCTCTACCTGTTATCACTCTCAGCCAAATGGACAACATCGATCTTTACTCAGTATTTTGAGATACTCATATCCTCAGTCCCTATATCATGATTCTGAATACCAGAAAGGTTGAAACTGCCTGTGACCATCACAAATCTTTTTGATTATGATGAAATCCCTGATGCTATCTCATGGTCAAAATGATAGTGACATTTTTCATCATGCAGCTGGTCCTACCCTGATTACTACTTCCTCTTCTGGCTAAATCCAATCACATTTGTGCCATTTACCCTTTGAATTCTCTTTCATTCCCACATGATTTAACACATAGAAGTAGTAGAAGTAGTATAGAGCCAGATGGAGGTATTGTCTCTTCCCTGTGAGGAAAGAGATTTGAAGAAGATAGTAAGCAGTCTCAGCTGATACAAAGGAGACATAGAAGGATAGAACTGTAGTAAGATCTTTGAAGATGGCCTTCATTCTTTATCTGACTTACTAAGTTTAAGACTTTTTGTGGTATTAATACACACAAAAATTCTATCAATTTTTAATAGTCTGTCAGGTAAATAAATTATATACAAATGATTTTAAAACAAGATGTACATCAATTCTGAAGTTCACAGGATCAATTAATAAAAAACGCAGTATACAGTGAGAAGGAAATTTTGGGCAATTTCAAGAGTGTTGTTTCTGTAAAGTCGTAGGGCAATTGCCAAATTTTAGTAAAAGAAATATTTGATATTGTGGAAATTGAGATAATTAAGGCAGAGTTTTAGACCATTTGTGGCTAAAGTTTGACTATGAAGGAAAAGAGGAAAAGTAGATTGATTGGGATAGCAGGTAGAAAAGAATTCCAAGGGCTTTTAGTAAGAACTATATACAATGAAGACTCCTAAACTTGAGCTTAATATATGCCAAGTACTATTCTGGACATTGAAGATACAAGTAATCATAATGTCATATTCTTACCTTCAAGTATCTCAGGGTCTACTGGAGAAGATAAACAGATTAACATACATTATAACAAAGAAAGTGTTAAAATAGTAGTATGAACATAGATATTTAAAAGAAGGAGTATCTAACTTTTTTCTTGGAGCACAGGCAAAGCTTCATAGAGGAAGTGGCATTTAAGATGAGCCTTACTGATCAGTAGTAGCTTGGGAAGAGAGAAAAGGGAAAGGGAATTTTTAGCAAGAGATATGGCTTGTGCAAAGGCTTAAAACGGTGGAAAAGCATGGTATATTTGAGGATTCATGAGCAGTTCAATTTGACTGAGTTATAGGGTGAATGAAAGGGAGTAGCAGGAGATGAAGCTGGAAAGATTTCCTAACACTAGGTGGTAAAAGGAACTTCTCTAACCTGGTAAGAAGTTTGGATTTTATTCTGTAGGCAAAAAAATAACTCAAGCTGAGTAGAATATTATAAAATTTTTGTTTAAAAAAGAAAACTTGGCCAGGTGCGGTGGCTCACACCTGTAATCCCAGCACTTTGGGAGGCTGAGGCAGGTGGATCACCCAAGGTCAGGAGTTCAAAACAAGACTGGCCAACATGGTTAAATCCCCTCTCTACAAAAACATAAAAAAAAATTAGCCAGGCATGGCCGGGCGTGGTGGCTCATGCCTGTAAACCCAGCACTTTGGGAGGCCAAGGCGGGTGGATCACCTTAGGTCAGGAGTTCAAAACCAGCCGGACCAACATGGAGAAACCCCATCTCTACTAAAAATACAAAATCAGCTGGGCATGGTGGTGCATGCGTGTAATCCCAGCTACTCGAGAGGCTGAAGCAGAAGAATCACTTGAACCCGGGAGGCGGAGGTTGCTGTGAGCCAAGATCGTGCCATTGTACTCCAGCCTGGGTGACGAGCGAAACTCCGTCTCAAAAAAAAAAAAAAAAAAAAAAAAAGCCGGGCATGATGGTGAGTGCCTGCAATCCCAGCTACTCGGGAGGCTGAGGTCGGAGAATCGCTTGAACCCAGGTGGCAAAGGTTGCAGTGAACCAAGGTCATGCCATTACCATCTATCTAGCCTGGGCAACAGAGTGAGACTCCATCTCAAAAACAAACAAACAAACAAAACTCACTAACTTTCAGGTATGATGGAATAGTTCAGACAGAATAACGCTTCTTCTAAGATCAGCTAGAGAAGTTAGAAAAATATATATTTTAAATATATGTTTGAAGTAATCAAAGAGCTACAGAGGAAAATAGTAATTAACGGGACAAAACCTTGGAGAAGGGAGAACCATATAGAGAATTGAGCTGACATTATGCAGTCTCTTTTTTCCTCAGGACATTTTTAAATTCTAGGTATAGAGCAATAAAAGAAGAATTCAAGCAAAGGGATCAGGAAGAGGATTGCTACTAAGAGGCAGAGAAACCAATGAAGCCTTTTGCCATCTCACACTGGAAAGACAAAAAGTCATAGAGGCTTGATTTTTATAAGGAAAGAGAAGTGAGAAACTGACCTCGATACTTTGTTGGACTTGCCTAAAGACATTTGCTGAATTCTCGGGCTGTGCTGGGATGGAGATTAGAGGCCAAATAAAAACCTCTGGTAAGTAGTGCACAGGTTTTGGTAATCACTTATTGCTGAAAAGGGAGGTATTAGATGTCAGACCTCCATAAGTCCTCAGGTGAAACACCTAGATGCTATGACCGAAGAGTCAGGATTGATCTAGAAGTAAACTGAACCTGTAGTCATCTCAGTCTCGAATGGGAACAAAGCATTAATCGCCTACTTGATCTGCTAGCAAAGGAAATAGTAATCACTGAAGGAAGATAAGATAAAATCATCCACAACCCCTAAACATTTTCATACACAATGTGCGACATTTAATAAAAAGTTGCTAGGCATGGCACACCTTATGACTGAAAAATAACAATAGAAAAAACACAATAAAAACAGTTTCAAGGAAAGCCAAATATTAGAATTATTAGAAAAATAATTTAAGATAGCTATGATTAATATGTCAAGATAATAGAGAAAAATGGAGAATTTTACTAGAAAATTTGAATCCATAAAATAGAAATACTAGAACTGAAAAATTCAAAAACTGAAATTAAGTACTCAATAAAAGAGTTTAACAGCACATTAGCCATACAAGACCAAAATAGTAGTAAACTAGAAGAAAAGTGAATAGAAAATATGCAAACTGAAGCATAATGTTTAAAAAGGGTGGGTAATATAGAAAAGAGAGTACTGTGTACTTTTGAAATTAAAGTCTCCAAAAGAGAAAAGTACAAGAATGGGTCATGTATCAGTTTGTTCTCATGCTGCTATAAAGAACTGCCTGAGACTGGTTAATTTATAAAGGAAAGAGGTTTAATTGACTCAGTTCTGCATGGCTGGGGAAGCCTCAGGAAACTTACAATCATGGTGGAAGAGGATGGAAACATGTCCTTCTTCACATGGTGGCAGGAAGAAGAAGAATGAGAGAAGTGCAGAACAAAGGGGTGGGGGAAGCCCTTCACAAAACCATCAGATCTTGTGAGAACTCATTCACTATCACGAGAACAGCATGGGGGAACTGCCCCCGTAATTCATTCACCTCCCATGAGGTCCCTCTCTGAACATGTGGGGATTACAATTCAGATTAAAATTCAAGATGAGATCTCGGTGAGGACACAGAGCCAAACCATATCAGATCAGAAGCAATATTTTAATAAATAATGGCTGCAAAATTCTCTGAAATTAATGAAAGACAAGCCTCAGATTCAAGCCTACAAACCCAAAGTAAGATGAATTTTAAAAATACAACCTAAGCACATTATAGCCAAACTGTTAAAACCAAAGACAAGTGAAAATCTTTCAGGCAGTTAGATTTTAAAAAAAGCATAGTAGTTGTAAAAGCAACAAAAGACTTAAATTCACTCCTCAGCTGAGATGATGGAAGATGGAAGACAATGAAATAACATTTAAAAAGTGCTGAAAGAGTTGGGTGTGGTAGCTCACACCTGTAATCTCAGCTACATGGAAGGATGAGGCAGGAGTATCACTTGAGCCCAGGAATTTGAGACCAGCCTGGGGAACTTAGACCACATTTCTAAAAAAAAAGAAAAAGAAAAAATATGAAAAGCAAAAGGTGCTGAAAGAAAATAATTGCCCATCTAGAACTCTGTACCAAGCAAAAATACTATTCAAAAATGAAGGCAAATTGAAGACATTTCTAGATAAACAAGAGTGAAAATATTCATCATTAGCAGATGTGAACTAAAAGAAATACTAAAAGGAATTCCGCAGACAAAAGAAAAATGGTCCCACACAGAAGCATGGAAACATGAGAAAATAATAAAGAAAAATAAAAAGAGATGATATGAGGGTAAATGTAAGTAAATATTCACCATATATGTCAATAATTTAATGTCTTATGGGGATTAAAATGTAGAATGAATATAGGAGCAGAAAAATATAAAACAGATGTTCACTAGAAAAAATAAACAAAACCCAAAGTGTATTATTTGAAAAGAACAATAAAATTGATAGGCCCTTTAGCATGACATCATAAATAGAAGCAAAGACACAAATTTTCACTATTAGGAAGAAAAATGAAACATCCATCAAGTTATATAGATATCGAATAGATTAATAAGGAATATAATCAATAATTATGTCATTTAAAATTGTGGTGAAACTGAGAAATCCCTAGAAAAACATAGCCTACCAAAATGGACACAAAGAGAAAAAAAATTCATATATCTATTTTAAAAACCTAACCTATAATTAAAAACGTTCACACAAGTAAAACTCCAGATTCAGTGGTTTCACCGGTGATTTCTTTCAAACATTAAATGAGGAAATAACAACAATCTTACATAAATTCTCTTAGGGGATAGAAAGAGGAAACACTTCTCTACTTTTTTGTAAGGCCAATATGATCTTAATTCTAAAACATACAAGAAAGGAAAATTATAGGCCAATTTCTAGAAGAAAATGCTTTTAAAAATTACCAAATAAAGACTAGTACATCACAACAAGTCAGGGTTAATTTCAATAACGCAATGTTAGTTTCCCACTTAAAAATCAATCAACATGATTGCTGGCAAGGTGGCCAAATAGGAACAGCTCCGGTCCACAGCTCCCAGTGAGAGAGACGCAGAAGGCGGGTGATTTTGCATTTCCAACTGAGGTACCCGCTTTATCTCACTGGGACTGGTTGGACAGTGGGTGCGAGCCGAAGCAGAGTGGGGCATTGCCTCACCTGGGAAGCACAAGGGGTTGGGGAGTTCCCTGCCCTAGCCAAGGAAAGCTGGGAGGGACTGTGAACAGTGCACTCCAGCCTAGATAATGCACTCTCCCCATGGTCTTTGCAACCTGCAGACCAGGAGATTCCCCCCGGTGCCTACACCACCAGGACCCTAGGTGTCAAGCACAAAACTGGGCAGCTATTTGGGCAGACACCGAGCTAGCTGCAGGAATTTTTTTTTTTTTTCATACTCCAGTGGCACCTGGAACACCAATGAGACAGAACCATTCACTCCCCTGGAAAGGGGGCTGAAGCCAGGGAGCCAAGTTGTCTGGCTCGGTGGGTCCCACCCCCACAGAGCCCAGCAAGCTGAGATCCACTGGCTTGAAATTCTCACTGCCAGCACAGCAGTCTGAGGTCAACCTGGGATGCTTGAGCTTGGTGCGGGGAGGGGCATCCACCATTGCTGAGACTTGAGTAGGTGGTTTTACCCTCACAGTGTAAACAAAGCTATCAGGAAGTTCGAACTGGACAGAGACCACCACAGCTCAGCAAGGCCACTGTGGCCGGACTGCCTCACTAGATTCCTCCTCTCTGGGCAGGGCATCTCTGAAACAAAGGCAGCAGCCCCAGTCAGAGGCTTATAAATAAAACCCCCATCTCCCTGGGACAGAGCACCTGGGGGAAGAGGTGGCTGTGGGCACAGCTTCAGCTGACTTAAACGTCCTGCCTGATGACTCTGAAGAGAACAGCAGATCTCCCAGTACAGTGCTTGAGCTCTGGTAAGGGTCAGACTGCCTCCTCAAGTGGGTCACTGACCCCCATGTCTCCTGACTGGAAGACACTTCCCAGTAGAGGTCGACAGACACCTCCTACAGGAGAGCTCTGGCTGGCATCTGGCAGGTGCTCCTCTGGGATCAAGCTTGCAGAGGAAGGAACAGGCAGCAATCTTTGCTGTTCTGCAGCCTCTGCTGGTGATACCCAGGAAAAGAGGGCCTGGTGCAAACCTCCAGCAAACTCCAGCAGACCTGCAGCAAACGGGCCTGACTGTTAGAATGAAAACTAACACACAGAAAGGAATAGCATCAACATCAATAAAAAGGACGTCCACTCAGAGACCCCATCCAAAGGTCACCAACATCAAACACCAAAGGTTGATAAATCCACGAAGATGGGAAGAAACCAGTGCAAAACGGCTGAAAATTCCAAAAAGCAGAATGCCTCTTCTCCTCCAAAGGATCACAACTCCCTGCCTGGAAGGGAACAAAACTGGATGGAGAATGAGTTTGACAAATTGACAGAAGTAGGCTTTAGAAGGTGGATAATAACAAACTCCTCCGAGCTAAAGGAGCATGCTCTAACCCAATGCAAGGAAGCTAAGAACCTTGAAAGAAGGTTAGATGAATTGCTAACTAGAATAACCAGTTTAGAGAAGAACATAAATGACCTAATGGAGCTGAAAAGCACAGCACGAGAACTTTATGAAGCATACACAAGTATCAAAAGCCAAATTGATCAAGCAGAAGAAAGGATATCAGAGATTCAATATCAACTCAATGAAGTAAAGCAAGAAGACAAGACTAGAGAGAAAAGAATGAAAAGGAATGAACAAAGCCTCCAAGAAATATGAGACTATGTGAAAAGACCAAAACTACATTTGATTGGTGTACCTGAAAGTGACAGGGAGAATGGAACAAAGTTGGAAAACACTCTTCAGGATATTATCCAGGAGAACTTCCCCAACCTAGCAAGACGGGCCAACATTCAAACTCAGGAAATACAGAGAACGCCACGAAGATTCTCCTCCAGAACAGCAACCCCAAGACACATAATCATCAGATTCACCAAGGTTGAAATGAAGGGAAAAATGTTAACTACAGCCAGAGAGAAACGTCTGGTTACCCACAAAGGGAAGCCCATCAGACTAACAGCAGATTAATCAGCAGAAATCCTATAAGCCAGAAGAGAGTGGAGGCCAACATTCAACATTCTCAAAGAAAATAATTTTCAACCCAGAATTTCATATCCAGCCAAACTAAGCTTCATAAGTGAAGGAGAAATAAAATCCTTTACAGACAAGCAAATGCTGAGAGAATTTGTCACCACCAGGCCTGCCTTACAAGAGCTCCTGAAGGAAGCACTAAACATGGAAAGGAACAACCAGTACCAGCCACTGCAAAAACATATCAAATTGTAAAGACCATCAACACTACAAAGAAACGGCATCAACTAATGGGCAAAATAACCAGCTAACATCATAATGACAGGATCAAATTCACACATAGCAATGTTAACCTTAAATGTTAATGGGCTAATTGCCCCAATTAAAAGACACAGACTGGCAAATTGGATAAAGGGTCAAGACCCATTGGTGTGCTGTATTCAGGAGACCCATCTCATGTGCAAAGACACACATAGGCTCAAAATAAAGGGATGGAGGAATATTTACCAAGTAAATGGAAAGCAAAAAAAAGCAGGGGTTGCAATTCTAGTCTCTGATAAAACAAACTTTAAACCAACAAAGATCAAAAGAGACAAAGAAGGGCATTACATAATGGTAAAGGGATCATGCAACAAGAAGAGCTAACTATCCTAAATATATATGCTCCCAGTACAGGAGCACCCAGATTCATAAAGCAAGTTCTTAGAGACCTACAAAGAGACTTAGGCTCCCATACAATAATAGTGGGAGACTTTAATACCCCATTGTCAATATTAGACAGATCGAGACAGAAAATTAAAAAGAATATTCAGGACTTGAACTCGGCTCCGGAACAAGCGGACCTAATAGACATCTACAGAACTCTCCACCCCAAATCAACAGAATATACATTCTCAGCACGACCTTGCACTTATTCTAAAATTAACCACATAATTGGAAGTAAAACATGCCTCAGCAAATGCAAAAGAATGGAAATCATAACAGTCTCTCAGACCACAGGGCAATCAAATTAGAACTGCAAATAAAGAACTGCAGATTAAGAAACTCACTCAAAACCACACAACTACATGGAAACTGAACAACCTGCTCCTGAATGACTACTGGGTAAGTAACGAAATTAAGGCAGAAATGAAGATGTTCTTTGAAACCAATGAGAACAAAGACACAAAGTACCAGAATCTCTGGAACACATTTAAAGCAGTGGTTAGAGAGAAATTTATAGCACTAAATGCCCACAAGAGAAAGAAGGAAAGATCTAAAATTGACACTCTACCATCAAAATTAAAAGAACAGAGAAGCAAGAGCATACAAATTCACAAGCTAGCACAAGGCAAGAAATAACTAAGATCAGAGCAGAACTGAAGGAGTTAGAAACACAAAATAAAATACTTCAAAAAAATCAACGAATCCAGGAGCTGTTTTTTTTTTAAAAGATCAACAAAATAGATAGATTGGTAGCCAGACTAATAAAGAATAAAAGAGAGAAGAATCAAATAGATGCAATAAAAATAAAGGGGATATCACCACTGATCCCACAGAAATACAAACTACCATCAGAGAATACTATAAACACCTCTACACAAATAAACTAGAAAATCTAGAAGAAATGCATAAATTCCTGGACACATACACCCTCCTAAGACTAAACCGGGAAGAAGTGGAATCCCTGAATAGACCAATAACAAGTTCTGAAATTGAGGCAGTCATTAATAGCCTCCCAACCAAAAAAAGTCCAGGACCAGACAGATTCACAGCCAAATTCTACCAGAGGTACAAAGAGGAGCTGGTACCATTCCTTCTGAAACTATTCCAAACAATAGAAAAAGAGGGAATCCTCCCTAACTCATTTTATGAGGCCAGCATCATTCTGGTACCAAAACCTGGCAGAGACACAACAAAAAAAGAAAATTACAGGTGAATATCCTTGATGAAAATCAAAACGAAAATCCTCAATAAAATACTGGCAAACCAAATCCAGCAGCACATCAAAAAGCTTATCCACCAAGATCCAGTTGGCTTCATCCTTGGGATGCAAGGCTGGTTCAACATATGCAAACCAATAAACGTAATCCATCACATAAACAGAACCAATGACAAAACCACACGATTATCTCAATAGATGCAGAAAAGGCCTTCGACAGAATTCAACAGCCTTCATCCTAAAAACTCTGAGTAAACTAGGTATTGATGGAACATATCTCAAAATAATAAGAGTTATTTATGACAAACCCACAGCCAATATCATACTGAATGGGCAAAAACTGGACGCATTCCCTTTGAAAACCAGCACAAGACAAGGATGCCCTCTCTTACCACTCCTATTCAACATAGTATTGGAAGTTCTGGCCAGGGCAATCAGACCAGAGGAAGAAATAAAGGGTATTCAAACAGGAAAAGAGGAATTCAAATTGTTCCTGTTTGCAGATGACATGATTGTATATTTAGAAAACACCATTGTCTCAGCCCCAAACCTCCTTAAGCTGATAAACAACCTCAGCAAAGTCTCAGGATACAAAATCAATGTGCAAAAATCACAAGCATTCCTATACACCAATAACAGAAAAACAGAGCCAAATCATGAGTGAACTCCCATTCACAATTGCTACAAAGAGAATAAAATACCTAGGAATATAACTTACAAGGGATTTGAAGGACCTCTTCCAAGAAAACTACAAACCACTCCTCAGGGAAATAAGACAGGACACAAATAAATGGAAAAACATTCCATGCTCATGGATAGGAAGAATCAATATCCTGACAATGGCCATACTGCCCAAAGTAATTTATAGATTCAATGCTATCCCCATCAAGCTACCATTGACTTTCTTCACAGAATTACAAAAATCTGCTTTAAATTTCATATGGAACCAAAAAAGAGCCCACATAGCCAAGACAATCCTAAGCAAAAAGAACAAAGCTGGAGGCATCACGCTACCTGACTTCAAACTATACTACAGGGCTACAGTAACCAAAACAGCATGATATTGGTAACAAAACAGATATATAAACCAATGGAACAGAACAGAGACCTCAGAAATAACACCACACATCTACAACCATCTGATCTTTGACAAACCTGACAAAAACAATGGGGAAAGGATTCCCTGTTTAATAAATGGTGTTGGGAAAACTGGCTAGCAACCTGCAGAAAGCTGAAACTGGATCCCTTCCTTGCACCTAATACAAAAATTAAATCAAGATGGATTAAAGACTTAAATGTAAAACCTAAAACCATAAAAACCCTAGAAGAAAACTTAGGTAATACCATTCAGTACATAGGCATGGGCAAAGACTTTGTGACTAAAACACCAAAAGCAATGGCAACAAAAGCCAAAATAGACAAATGGGATCTAATTAAACTAAAGAGCTTCTGCACAGCAAAAGAAACTGTCATCAGAGTGAACAAGCAACCTACAGAATGGGAGAAAATTTTTGCAATCCATCTGACAAAGGGCTAATATCTAGACTCTACAAAGAATTTAAACAAATTTACAAGAAAAAAACAACCCTGTCAAAAAGTGGGTAAAGGATATGAACGGGCACTTTGTAAAATTAGACATTTATGTGGCCAACAAACATATGAAAAATAGCTTATCATGACTGGTCATTAGAGAAATGCAAATCAGAACCACAATGAGATACCATCTCACACCAGTTAGAATGGCGATCATTAAAAAGTCAGGAAACAACAGATGCTGGAGAGGATGCCAAGAAATAGGAACACTTTTGCACTGTTGGCAGGAGTATAAATTAGTTCAACCATTGTGGAAGACAGTGTGGCGATTCCTCAAGAATCTAGAACTAGAAATATCATTTGACCCAGCAATCCAATTACTGGGTATATACCCAAAAGATTATAAATCATTCTACTATAAAAACACATGTACACATATGTTTATTGCATAAACAATATGCAGTATTCACAATAGCAAAGACTTGGAACCAACCCAAATGCCCATCAATGATAGACTGTATAAAGAAAACGTGGCACATATTCACCACGGAATACTATGCAGCTATAAAAAAAGGATGAGGTCATTACCTTTCCAGGGACATGGATGAAGCTGGAAACCATCATTCTCAGCAAACTAACACAAGAACAGAAAACCAAACACTGCATTTTCTCACTCATAAGTGGGAGTTGAACAATGAGTACACATGGACACAGGGAGGGGAACATCATGCACTGGGGCCTCTCAGGGGGCAGGGACTAGGGGAGGGATAGCATTAAGAGAAATACCTAATACGGATGACGGGTTGATGGGTGCAGCTAACCAGCATGTCACGTGTATACCTATGTAACAAACCTGCATATTCTGCACATGTACCCCAGAACTTAAAAGTATAATTAGAAAGAAAAAGAAAAAAGAAAAATCAACTTAATTTACCACATATAAAAAGAAGTGGGAGTAAGAGAAATTTTCAGTCAACAACATGTTGTACTTATAAAAATTCAAAAGACCACAGAAAGAATCTTAGAATTATAGTTATTGGAAGTCCTAGCCAGAGCAATCAGGCAAGAGAAGGAAATAAAGGGCATCCAAATTGGAAAAGAGGAAGTCAAACTATCCCTGGTTTCCGATGATATGACTGTGTACCTAGAAAACCCTAAAGACTCCTCCAAAAGACTTCTGTATTTGATAAATGAATTCAGTAAAGTTTCAGATTACAAAATCAGTGTACACAAAACAGTGGCACTGCTATAAAACAACCAGGGTGAGAATCAAATCAAGAACTCAATCCCTTTTACAATAGCTGCAAAAGAAAAAAAATACATAGGAAGATACTTAACCAAAGAGATGAAAGATCTCTACGAGGATAACTACAAAACATTGCTGAAAGAAATTATAGATGACACAAACAAATGGAAATATATCCCATATTCATGGATTGAAAGGATCAATATCGTGAAAATGACCATATTGCCCAAAGCAATCTACAGATTCAATGTAATTCTTATCAAAATACCACATCGTTTTCCACAGAATTAGGAAATTGATCCCAAAATTGATATGGATCCAAAAAAGAGCCTGAATAGCAATCCTAAACAAAAAGAACAAATCTAGAGTTATCACATTACTCGAATTTCAAATTATACTATAAGACTATAGTAACCGAAACAGCATGGTACTTGTATAAAAGTAAATACATAGACCAATGGAACATAATAGAGAACCCAAAAATAAAGCCATGCACTTACAACCAACTGATCTTTGACAAAGCATACAAAAACACAAATTAGGGAAAGGATACCCTATACAATAAATGGTGCTGGGCAAACTGGATGCCCACATGTAGCAGAAAGAAACTGGATCCCTATCTCTCATCGTGTACAAAAATCAACTCAAGATGAATTGAAGTCTTAAATCTAAGACTTGAAGCCATAAAAATTCTAGAAGAAAACCTAGGAAAACCTAGAATTTATGACTAAGACTCCTAAAGCAAATACAACAAAAGCAAAAATAAATAAATGAAACCTAATTATAACTAAAAATCTTCTGCATAGCAAAAATAATAATCAGAGTAAACAGACAACCCACAGAATGGGAGAAAATACTTGAAAACTATGCATCCAACAAAGGATTAATATCCAGAATCTACAAGGAACTCAAACAAATCAGTAAGAAAAAAACAAATAATCCCATCAAAAATTGGGCAAATGACATTTCTCAAAGGAAGATGTACAAATGACCAACAAACATGAAAAAATGCTCGACATCATTAATCATCAGGAAAATGCAAATTAAACTACAGTGAGATACCATCTTACCCCCGCCAGAATGGCCATTATTGAAAAGTCAAAAAACAACAAATGTTGGCATTGATGTGGTGAAAGGGGAATGATGTTTTTTTGTTGTTGTTGTTTTTTGTTTTGAGATAGGGTCTCACTCTGTCACCCAGACTGGAGTGCAGTGGCATGAACATGGTTCACTGCAGTCTCAAGCTCCTGGGCTCAAGTGATGCTCCCACCTCAGCCTCCCAAGTAGCTGGGACTATGGGTATGTGCCACCATGCCTGGCTAATTAAAAAAAATTTTTTTTTGTAGAGACAGGGTCTCACTATGTTGCCCACGTTGGCCTTGAACTCCTGGGCTCAAGTGATCCTCCCACCTCAGCCTCCCAAAGTGCTGGGATTACAGTCATGAGCCACTTCACCCAACCACAAATGCTTATACACTACTGGTGGAAATGTAAATTAGTACTATCTCTAAAAATAGTGTGGAGATTTCTCAAACAACTAAAAGTAGATCTAGTCCAGGTGCAGTGGCTCACGCCTGTAATCCTAGCATTTTGGGAGGCCAAGGCAAGAGGATTGCTTGATCCCTGGAGTTCCCGACTAGCCTGGGCAACATGGTGAGACCATGTCAATACAAACAAATAAGTAAAATATTAGCCACAGGAGTTGCCAGCCTGTGGTCCCAGCTAGGAGATGAGCTGTGGTCTCAGGAGGCTGAGGTGGGAGGATTGCTTGAGTTCAGGAGGTAGAGGCTGCACTGAGCCATTTTCATGCCACTGCACTCCAGCCTCAGTGACAGACTGAGTCCTTGTCTCAAAAAAAAAAAAAAAAAAAAAAAAGATCTACCATTTGATCCAGCAATCCCACTACAGGGTATCTACCCAAAGGAAAAGAAGTCATTATTTCAAAAAAAGACACCTGCACACATATGTTTATTGCAGCACAATTCACAATTGCAAAGATATGGAACCAACCTAAGTGTTCATCAGCTGATGAATGGATAAAGAAAACATGGTATATATACACCATCGAGAACTACTCAGCCACGAAAAAATGAAATGATGTCTTTTGCAGCAACTTGGATGGAGCTGGAGGTCATTATTCTAAGTGAAGTAACTCAGGAATGGAACAAATACCGTATTTTCTCACTTATAAATGGGAGCTAAGCTATGGGTATGCAAAGGCATACAGAGTGGTAGAATGGACATTGGAGACTGACAAGGGGGAGGGGTGAAATGAGGATAAGGGATAAAAAACTGCATATTGGGTACAGTGTCCACTACTCAGGTGACAGGTACATTAAACTCTCAGACTTTCAACTATACAATTAATCCATGTAACCAAAAACCACTTGTACCCCTAAAGCTATTGAAATTTAAAAAGGAAAAAAAAGAATTATAGTTATTAATGTAGAATAACTATAAGTAAATTTAACAATTTTGTGAAATGAGATCAACATACAAAAAATCAATTTTTTAAATATTAGCAACAAAGTAACAAAAAAAGAAATAAGGAAGATGATATTACTTACAAAAAATTAAAAACCTTAGAATAAATCTAATCAAAGATATAAAAGATCTTTTTAAGTAGCTTTAAATAAATGGAGGGTTATATCATGTTAATGGGGTGGAAGACTCACGATTGTAAAGATTTTAGTTCCCCCCAAATCGATAGATTTAATCTAATCCTAATCAAACTCCCAGCAGGTTTATATAAAAATAAGCTGATTCTAAAATATATATAAAAACAAATGTGCCGCATATTGCAAAGGTGTGCTTGAAGAAGATTTGTAGATATTACTACTAGATTCTAAAACTTACAGTGATCGTAATTAAGACAGTGTGGTATTAGCACAGATAGGCAAGCTGACTAGATAACAGAATAGAAAATCCAGAAATAGACCACTATTGATTTTTTTTTTATAAAGGTGTTATTGTAGTGCAGTGGGTATGGTCTTCCCAATAAATGGTGCTGTGCCAATCAGATATCTATAAGTAAAATACATGTATCCAGAACGCTTCTTCTTTACAAAAACCACAAGAAGGATTTTAGACCTAATGTAACAGATTAAACTAACGAAGCTTTCAGAAGAAAGCATAAGAGAATATCTTTATGACTTTGGGGTTGGCAAAGACTTCATTAAAAAAGTATTCATCATACTTTATTGATACATTGAAAAATTGGGCTCCAAGAAAAATGAGAGCTGCTCTTTCTCAAAAGACACCATAATGGGAGCAAAGGCAAACGACACACTTGAAGTAGATATTTGCAGAGTATACACTTGGCAAAGGACTTGTATTCTGAAAAGGATTTAGGTAACAGGAAGGAGCTCCTTACAGTAGGGAATCCATTCAGAAGTTCAAACTGGTTTAGAGACACCTTGATTTAACACAATCACACTTCGGGCTCTCAAATGACTCCAGCTCACCCACCTTATGTATACATATGTGTGTGGGGGGGGGGATGGTCACACTACACTAAAACGAAAGTAGTTGGAGCTCCATCCCCTTATTCCTCTATTTCTATGAATTCTCCTGGTCTTTGCCCTTTGTTTCCTGTGCCCCTACTAAATGCCATCTCAGTTTATCCTTCCTCCTGTTTCCACCTCTCCTCTTCCCAACTAATGTGGGATATAGCATTGGTTTTTGTGTTGTTTTCAATTCCCACAAACTATCACTAACATATGGTAGTTGTGTAGTGCACCCCTGTACCAAAAAGCTTCTTTGGAGGCAGTGGCAGGGACGGGCAGGGGCAGTGGTAATGAGGATAAGCAAGCACCAATAGTTAGACTTCCTTGTTCTCATTTCCTCAGTCACTCTCATCTCCCCAACCCCCTTTCGCACCATGGGTTCCAGTTTACTGGGTTGCAAGGTCCTATCCCTCTATCTGAAAGTTTTTTCAGGAAACTCCAGATTCTTTTTTTTTTTTTTTTTTTTGACAGAGTTTCACTCTTAATTCTTTATCATGTAGACTAAACCATTTAGCTTTCTTTGTCTCACTCCTCTGCCTTTTGTGATCATGTCCTGTGGCTGATCTTTCAGCAAACTCCATTGACTTATTTCACCAAGCAAAGGAGAGGCATCTAGATAGGGATTTGGGGACTATCTTAAAGAATTATTCTTTAAAATCCCAAATTGAATTCATTAACGTAAGACACACCCTTCTCTCCTCCCAACGTGGTTCTTACACCAAGTTCTTCCTTTTCTTTTTCTTTAAAATTTTTTCAGGGGGTTCACACTGCATTGTCTAGGCTTGTTAGAAACTATGGGTTCTTGGGCTCTCAATGCAATAGAAATTGATGTGAGGCCCAAAGAGTTTTCCTGAGACTTCACTGGAGCTTATGCATGGGCATAAGGGAGGCAGCACAAGAGAGAGAGAATTCCCTCACTGACTCTTTGAAAAGGTTGGGATTTTTATTAGGCAAAGTGCAAGAATTGATACTGGGGGTAGGGTATACAGGCTGGGCTGGGTAAAGCACGTGAGGGGTAGGGTATAGAGGTCTGCACATCTGGTTGTGATGGTTGTATTGAGTAATGGGCCAACTGGCGGTCTCACCCATGGCAACAAGGCTGTAAATCAATTGTTCAGCTTTTGATTTTACAAGCTTATGGGTGGAGAGCACTTACCTTGTCTCAAAGAGACTTTGGACTTGGACTTTTGGGTTAATGCTGGAATGAATTAAGACTTTGAGGGAGTGTTGGGAAGGCATGATTGGTTTTGAAATGTGAAAAAGACCTGAGATTTGGGAGGGGCCAGGGGCAGAATGATATGGTTAGGCTTTGTGTTCCCACCCAAATCTCATCTTGAATTGAAATTTCCATAATCCCTATAATCCCCACGTGCCAAAGGAGAGACCAGGTGGATGTAATTGAATCATGGGGGCAGTTCCTCCATGCTGTTCTCACGCTAGTGGGTGAGTTCTCACAAGATCTGATGGTTTTGTAAGGGGCTTTTCCCCCTTTGCTCGGCAATTCTCCTTCCTGCTGCCTTGTGAAGAAGGTGCCTGGGTTTCCCTTCACCTTCTGCCATGATTTTAAGTTTCCCGAGGCCTCCCCAGCCATGCTGAACTGTGAGTCAATTAAGCCTCTTTCCTTTATAAATTACCCAGTTTTGGGCAGTTCTCTTTTTTTGAGACGGTGTTTGAACCAATACAAGAACCTTACATTTACAAGTAAGTGTAGTCTGAAAGTATTTCATCTTCAAGTAGATTCATGAAAATAACTGATAGGTTCAGGTTTCTGGTAACTTTGTTATACCTTGAATTGGGTAAGGATTTCCAGAACTCTGATAAGGAAACTCTTGGGTTCATAAAATTGCTAGAACCAAAATCTAGCAGAACAAGAATTAGTTACATGAGACTAAATGAACTCATGACATTTTATTTGAATCATTGCTGGTTTTGTTTTCCAGATTTAAGGAAAATTTTCTTTTTTCTCTTAGACTACCTATTGCTTACAGCAGCTTGGTAGATTACTCCTTTATAAACAAAATACAATTACTTTTTCTCCCTACTTGACCCGTCCAGAATTCAGAAGCTATTAGTGACTATCCTTTTTTCATGGCAATAAAGTTATTTATGTAAGTTCAATAAGAATCTGTTCTCTTCGTAACAGAACATAATTGGAAGCATTGGTTTTATAACCAAGGTTTTGACTGGAACGTCGTACTTGAGAATGTGTATAGATCAGATATGACCAAGCGATGCAGAATTTTTGTTCCTTAGTTAAGCTAAATCTGGATTCTTCTGCCACGACCAGGAAAAATTAGGCATGTGGACACTCTGAAGGGTGAGGACAGTGGAATTTATTGGGCAAAAAGGAAGAAAAAAAAAACTTTCAGCAAAGTGAGGGGTGTCCTGCCAATGGCCTCCCACCTCACAGATTGAATATCAGGCCCCCACACATGAGCTGAAGAGCCAGACTCCTCCCCCTGCATAAGGTGCAAATTCCTGGTCACTCCACCCCATTCCTCCAGTGCACATGTGGGCATTATTCAGAAAGAATCAGTTGGGAAAGGGTGGACAAACAGGGGCAGTTCTCCCTCTGGGTCGTGTTTTTCATCTGGGACCAGCAGTCCAATCTTTCAGCCTTCAGGCTGTTTTAGGCCTGAAGGTTGGGTTTCACTGGGTACTCTTCACTGTCTACTGTCTCTATCACAAGCAGCTTCAAGAAACTAAGGTTGAGGCCCAATGGCTCATGCCTCTAATGTAATCCCAGCACGATGGGAGGGTGAAGCACGTGGATTGCTTGAGTTCATGAGTTTTTGACCAACCTGAGCAACATGACGAAAACTCGTCTCTACAAAAAAAAAAAAAAAAAAAAAATACAAAAAATTAGCCAGGCATGGTAAGGCGCGCCTGTAGTCTTAGCTACTCAGGAGGCTGAGGTGGGAGGATGGCTTGAGCCTGGGAGGCAGAGGATGCAGAGAGGCGGAGGTTGCAGGCAGACAGAGGTTGTATTGAGCTGAGATGGCGCCACTGCCCTCCAGCCTTGGTGACAGAGCAAGACCCTGTCTCAAAAAAAATAAAAATTTAAAAAAGAAACGAAGGTGGATTTTATAATGCCAATTAATCTCTCTTCCCTTTGGAAAAACTGGACTGATACCCGGCTTACAGGGTTCTGGGCCTTACAGGTGAGAAAAGAATGTCACTTCCTGGCAGGCCCAGGACCCTAGGATATCTTGAGGATCTCAACAAGAGAAGAATTCATCCAAATCTGTAGGTATTGTTATTGGAAAGGGGTACTAATACAGACTCCATTTAATACAGACACATTTAACGCAGTGTGTCGAGGGAACTTTATAGCACTAAATGCCCACAAGAGAAAGAAGGAAGGATCTAAAATTGACACCCTAACATCACAATTAGAAGAACTAGAGAAACAAGAGCAAACAAATTCAAAAGCTAGCAGAAGGCAAGAAATAACTAAGATCAGAGCAGAACTGAAGGAGATAGAGACACAAAAAACCCTTCAAAAAATCACTGAATCCAGGAGCTGTTTTTTTAAAAAGATCAACAAAGTTGACAGACTGCTAGTAAGACTAATAAGAAAAGAGAAGAATCAAAAAGACGCAATAAAAAATGATAAAGGGGATATCTCCACTGATCCCACAGAAATACAAACTACCATCAGAAAATACTATAAACACCTCTATGCAAATAAACTAGAAAATCTAGAAGAAATAGATAAATTCCTGGACACATACACCCTCCCAAGACTAAACCAGCAAGAAGTGGAATCCCTGAATAGACCAATAACAGGCTCTGAAATTGAGGCAATAATTAATAGCCTAACAACCAAAAAAGTCCAGGACCAGACAGATTCACAGCCGAATTCTACCAGAGGTACAAAGAGGAGCTGGTCCCATTCCTTCTGAAACTATTCCAATCAATAGAAAAAGAGGGAGTCCTCCCTAACTCATTTTATGAGGCCAGCATGATCCTGATACCAAAACCTGGCAGAGACACAACAAAAAAAGAGAATTTTAGACTAATATCCCTGATGAATATCTATGCGAAAATCCTCAATAAAATACTGGCAAACCGAATCCATCAGCACATCAAAAAGCTTATCCACCAAGATCAAGTCGGCTTCATCCCTGGGATGCAAGGCTGGTTCAACATGCTCAAATCAATAAACGTAATCCATCACATAAACAGAACCAAAGACAAAAACCACATGATTATCTCAATAGATGCAGAAAAGGTCTTTGACAAAATTCAACAGCGCTTCATGCTAAAAACTCTCAGTAAACTAGGTATTGATGGAACATATCTCAAAATAATAAGAGCTATTTATCACAAACCCACAGCCAATATCATACTAAATGGGCAAAAACTGGAAGCATTCCCTTTGAAAACCGACACAAGGCAGGGATGCCCTCTCTCACCACTCCTGTTCAGCATAGTGTTGGAAGTTCTGGCCAGGGCAATCAGGCAAGAGGAAGAAATAAAGGGTATTCAATTAGGAAAACAGGAAGTCAAATTGTCTCTGTTTGTAGATGACATGAGTGTATATTTAGAAAACCCCATCGTCTCAGCCCAAAATCCCCTTAAGCTAATAAACAACTTCAGCAAAGTCTCAGGATAGAAAATCAATGTGCAAAAATCACAAGCATTCCTGTACGCCAATAACAGACAGAGAGCCAAATCATGAGTGAACTCCCATTCACAATTGCTACAAAGAGAATAAAATACCTAGGAATCCAACTTGCAAGGTATTTGAAGGACCTCTTGAGGGCGAACAATAAACCACTGCCCAACGAAATAAAAGAGGACACAAACAAATGGAAGAACGTTCCATGCTCATGGATAGGAAGAATCAATATCGTGACAATGGCCATACTACCCAAGGTAATTTATAGATTCAGTGCCATCCCCGTCAAGCTACCAATAACTTTCTTCACAGAATTGGAAAAAACTACTTTAAAGTTCATATGGAACCAAAAAGAGCCCGCATTGCCAAGACAATCCTAAGCAAAAAGAACAAAGCTGGAGGCATCATGCTACCTGACTTCAAACTATACTACAAGCCTACAGTAACCAAAACAGCATGATACTGGTACAAAAACAGAGAGATAGACCAATGGAACAGAACAAAGGCCTCAGAAATAACACCACACATCTACAACCATCTGATCTTTGACAAACCTGACAAAAACAAGCAATGGGGAAAGGATTCCCTATTTAATAAATGGTGTTGGGAAAACTGGCTAGCCCTATGTAGAAAGCTGAAACTGGATCCCTTCCTTACATCTTATACAAAAATTAATTCAAGATGGATGAAAGACTTAAACGTTAGACCTAAAGCCATAAAAATCCTAGAAGAAAACCTAGGCAATACCATTCAGGACATAGGCATGGGCAAGGACTCCATGACTAAAACACCAAAAGCAATGGCAACAAACGCCAAAATAGACAAATGGGATCTAATTAAACTAAAGAGTTTCTGCACAGCAAAAGAAACTATCATCAGAGTGAACAGGCAGCCTACAGAATGGGAGAAAATTTTTGCAGTCTACCCATCTGACAAAGGGCTAATACCCAGAATCTACAAAGAACTTAAACAAATTTACAAGAAAAAATCAAACAACCCCATCAAAAAGTGGGCAAAGGATATGAACAGACACTTCTCAAAAGAAGATATTTATGCAGCCAACAGACACATGAAAAAATGCTCATTGTCACTGAATGCTCATGCATTTCTCATCAGAAATGCAAATCAAAACCACAATGAGATACCATCTCACACCAGTTAGAATGGTGATCATTAAAAAAGTCAGGAAACAACAGGTGCTGGAGAGTAAGTGGAGAAATAGGAACGCTTTTACACTGTTGGTGGGAGTGTAAACTAGTTCAACCATTGTGGAAGTCAGTGTGGCGATTCCTCAAGGATCTAGAACTAGAAATATCATTTGACCCGCCATCCCATTACTTGGTACATACCCAAAGGATTATAAATCATGCTACTATAAAGACACATGCACACGTATGTTTATTGTGGCACTATTCACAATAGCAAAGACTTGGAACTAACCCAAATGTCCATCAATGATAGACTGGATTAAGAAAATGTGGCACATGTACACCATGGAATACTATGCAGCCGTAAAAAAGGATGAGTTAATGTCCTTTGTAGGGACATGGGTGAAGCTGGAAACCATCATTCTGAGCAAACTATCGCAAGAACAGAAAACCAAACACCACATGTTCTCACTTATAGGTGGAAATTGAACAATGAGAACACTGGGACACAGGGCGGGGAACATCACACACTGGGGTCTGGCATGGGGTGGGGGTATGGGGGAGGAATAGCATTAGGAGAAATACCTAATGTAAATGACAAGTTAATGGGTGCAGGAAACCAACATGGCATATGTATACCTATGTAAAAAAAAACCCGCATGTTGTGCACATGTACCCTGGAACTTAAAGTACTAAAAAAAAAAAAAAAAAAAAAAAAATAGTCTGACTCTTGTAGAGCTCTGGCAATGGCTAATTAATTATGGTGTTTCTAGAAGTTAAATCGACAGGAAGCCTACTGCATTTCTGCTTAATTTATAAAAGCAGAAAACTTCTAGGTCGAATGGACAAAATACTGATTTGAATTATAAAAAGAGAGAATCACAGCCCCTCAATTTCCAGACTTGAGCCAGTTTACAGATCTGGAGCCCCTTGAATGAAGGGGAGGCCAGGTACCCTTCAGGAAGGACCCCACTACATTACCAACAATTTATGTAGTGAATCTTTCACCCATCCTTCCTCAAGGAGACCTCTGGCCTTTTACCAGGGTAACTGTGCACTGGGGAAAGGGAAATGATCAGATATTTCAGGAACTGTTGGACACTGGCTCTGAGCTCACATTGATTCCAGGGGACCCAAAACATCATTGTTGTCCTCCAATTGAAGTAGGGTCTTATGAAGATCAGGTAATTAATGGAGTTTTAGCTCAGGTCCGACTTAACATTGGGTGCGCTGGTTCCCTAGACTTATCCTGTGGTCATTTCCCCAGTGTCAGAATGCATATTTGGCATAGACATCCTTAGCAGCTGGTAGAACCCCCACATTGGCTTCCTGACTGGTAGGGTGAGGGCTATTATGGTGGCAAAGGTCAAATCAAAGCCATTAGAGCTGCCTCTACCTAGAAAAATAGTAAATCAAAAACAACATCACATCCCTGGAGGGACTGTGGAGATTAGTGCTACCATCAAAGATTTGAAAGATACAGTGGTGGTGATTCCCAAAACAT
This sequence comes from Homo sapiens, assembly GCF_000001405.40. Taxonomy (NCBI): domain Eukaryota; kingdom Metazoa; phylum Chordata; class Mammalia; order Primates; family Hominidae; genus Homo; species Homo sapiens. The sequence continues at coordinate 2,303,817 of NC_000006.12, forward strand.
CCCTGTTCAACTTTCCTATTTGGTCTGTGAAGAAGACAGATGGGTCTTGGAGAATGACAGTGGATTATTGTAAGCTTAACCAAGTGGTGACTCCAATTGCAGCTGCTGTACAAGATGCGGTTTCATTGCTTGAGCAAATTAACACATCTCCTGGTACCTGGTATGCCACCATTGACTTGGCAAGTGCATTTTTTTCCATTCCTGTTCATAAGGCCCACTAGAAGCAATTTGCCTTCAGCTGGCAAGGCCAGCAATATGCTTTTACTGTCCTACCTCAGGGATATATCAACTCTCTGGCTTTGTGGTATAATCTTTTTCGGAGAGACCTTGATTGCTTTTCGCTTCCACAAGATATCACACTGGTCTATTACATTGATGCCATTATGCCGTTTGGATCCAGTGAGCAAGAAGTAGTAAACTCACTGGACTTATTGGTGAGACATTTGTGTGCCATAGGATGGGAAATAAATCTGGGTAAAATTCAGGGAACTTCCACCTCAGTAAAATTTCTAGGAGTCCAGTGGTGTGGGGTCTGTCGAGACATTCCTTCTAAGGTGAGGGTTACGTTGCTGCATTTGGCCCCTTCTACAACCCAGGAAGGGGCACAATGCCTAGTGGGCCTATTTGGATTTTGCAGGCAACACATTCCTCATTTGGATGTGTTACTCCGGCCCATTTGTCAAGTGACCCAAAATGCTGCCAGTTTTGAGTGGGGTCCAGAACAGAAGGCTCTACAACAGATCCAGGCTGCTGTACAAACTGCTCTGCTACTTGGGCCATATGACCCAGCAGATCCAATGGTGCTTGAGGTGTCAGTGGCAGATAGGGATGCTGTTTGGAGCCTTTGGTAGGCCCCCATAAGTGAATCACAGAAGAGGCCTCTAGGATTTTGGAGCAAGGCCCTGCCATCTTCTGCAGATAACTACTCTCCTTTTGAGAGACAGCTCTTGCCTGTCACTGGGCTTTGGTGGAAACTGAACAATTGACTATGGGTCATCAAGTCAGCATAGGACCTGAACTGCCTGTCATGAACTGGGTGCTTTCTGACCCATCTAGCCATAAAGTGGGTTGTGCACAGCAGCATACCATCTCCAAATGAAAGTGGTATATAACGTGATTGGGCTCAAGCAGGTCCTGAAGGCACAAGTAAGTTACATGATGGAGTGACTCAAATGCCCATGTTCTCCACTCCTGCCACCCTGCCTTCTCTCCCCCAGCCTGCACCAATGGCCTCATGGGGAGTTCCATTTGCTCAGTTGACAGAGGAAGAGAAGAGAGGAAGAGAACTAGAGCCTGGTTCACAGATGGTTCTACGTGATATGCAAGCACCACCCGAAAGTGGACAGCTGCAGCACTACAGCCCCTTTCTAGGACATCCCTGAAGGACAATGGTGAAGGGAAATCTTCCTAGTGGGCAGAACTTTGAGCAGTGCACCTGGTTGTGCACTTTGCATGGAAGGAGAAATGGCCAGATGTGTGATTATATACTGATTCATGGGCTGTAGCCAGTGGTTTGGCTGGATGATCAGGGACTTGGAAGAAGCATGATTGGAAAATTGGTGACAAAGACATTTGGGGAAGAGGTATGCAGATGGACCTCTCTGAGTAGCCAAAAACTGTGAAGATATCTGTATCCCACATGAGTGCTCACCAGTGGGTGACCTCAGCAGAGGAGGATTTTAATAATCAAGTGGATAGGATGACCTGTTCTGTGGACACCACTCAGTCTCTTTCCCCAGCCACCCCTGTCATCGCCCAATGGGCCCATGAACAAAGTGGCCATGGTGGCAGGGATGGAGGTTATGCATGGGCTCAGCAACATCGACCTCCACTCACCAAGGCTGACCTGATTATGGCCACTGCTGACTGCCCAATTTGCCAGCAGCAGAGACCAGCACTGAGCCCTCAATATAGCACCATTCCTGGGGGTGATCAGCCAGCTACCTAGTGGCAGGTTGATTATATTGGACCTCTTCCATCATGAAAAGGGCAGAGGTTTGTCCTCAATGGAATAGACACTTAACTCCAAATATGGGTTTGTCTGTCTTGCATTCAATGCTTCTGCCCAGACTACCATCCAGGGATTCATGGAATACCTTATCCACCATCATGGTATTCCACACAGCATTGCCTCTGACCAAAGCACCCACTTTATGGCTACAGAAGTGTGGCAGTGGGCTCCATGCTCATGGAATTCACTGGTCTTACCACGTTCCCCATCATCCTGAAGCAGCTGGATTGATAGAATGGAGGAATGGCCTTTTGAAGTCACAATTGCAATGCCAACTAGGTGAAAATACTTTGCAGGGTGGGGGCAAAGTTCTCCAGCAGGCCATGTATGCTCTGAATCAGCGTTTAATATACGGTACTGTTTCTCCCATAGCCAGGACTCACAGGTCCAGGAATCAAGAGGTGGAAGTGGAAGTGGCACCACTCACCATCACCCCTAGTGATCCACCAGCAAAATTTTTGCTGCCTCTTCCCATGACGTTACGTTCTGTTGGCCTAGAGGTCTTAGTTCCAGAGGGAGGAACGCTGCCACCAGGAGACACAACAGCAATTCCGTTAAACTGGAAGTTAAGATTGCCACCTGGACACTTTGGACTCCTGCTATCTTTAAATCAACAGGCTAAGAAGGGAGTTACAGTGTTGACTGAGGTGATTGACCTGGACTATCAAGATGAAATCAGTCTACTACTCCACAGCAGAGGTAAGGAAGAGTAAGCATGGAATACAGAAGATCCATTAGGACATCTCTTAGTATTACCATGCCCTGTGATTAAGGTCAATGGGAAACTACAACAGCCCAATCCAGGCAGGACTACAAATGACCCAGACCCTTCAGGAATGAAGGTTTGGGTCACTCCACCAGGGAAAAAACCACAGCCTGCTGAGGTGCTTGTTGAAGGCAAAGGGAATACAGAATGAGTAGTAGAAGAAGGTGGTCATCAATACCAGCTACGACCACGTGACCAGCTGCAGAAACCAGGACTGTAATTGTCATGAGTATTTACTCCTTCTTTTGTTAAAAACATGTTTTTGCATGTATACACTTGTACTAAGAAAATATCTTTATTTTGTTTCCTTTCTCCTTTATCATGTGATGTAAGATTTATTGACTTGACATCAACATTTAAGTATTGTTAACTTTATGTAATAGTATTTGGGTTGGGGATTGGTGTGTTTCCAGTTGTATGAAGGATAGTTATGTTAGGCATAATTATGACCTTATTATTGTCTTTATTTGAATATTATGTATGATCTCAGGAGATGTGTATGGGTTCAAGTTGACAAAGGGTGGACTTGTGATGGTTAATACTGAGTGTCAACTTGATTGGATTGAAGGATACCAAGTATTCATCCTGGGTGTATCTGTGAGGGTGTTGCCAAAGGAGATTAACATTTGAGTCGGTGGGCTGGGCAAGGCAGACCCACCCTTAATCGGGTTGGGTACCATCTAATCAGCTGCCAGCATGGCTAGAATATAATAAGCAGATAGAAAATGTGAAAAAAGGTACTGGCCTAGCCTCCCAGCCTACATCTTTCTGCCATGCTGGATGCTTCCTGCCCTTGAACATCAGACTCCAAGTTCTTCAGTTCTGGAACTTGGACTGGCTCTTCTTCCTCCTCAGTCTGTAGATGGCCTATTGTGGGACCTTGTGATCATGTGAGTTGTACTTAATAAACTATATATATATATATATATATATATATTCCTTTAGTTCTGTCCCTCTAGAGAACGCTGACTAATACAGACCCTGAACACAGGAGAAAATCAAAAATAATTTTCCACATCTGGCTAAAACTATGAGCCTTACTCTATCTAACTTACTCTGTTTTATCCTGAGCAAGTTTATTTTATACCTTCAAGTCTACGATTTTTATTGGATTCCCTTCCCCACCCCAATTTATGTCTTTGTGGCAGAATAATCTTAGAGAGTCTTAGATAGTTTTGGGAGGAACTCTTTCCTCTACCATTTGAGGTTCCAGTGGTTGGAGGCCTGCGAATTCACTGACAATAGATTAATAAGAAAAAAAACAAGGTTTATTTCCATGTGCATTTGAGAGTTGCTCAATGATGAGCAACTCACTGAATAACCGGAGATAAGAATTTATATAACAATTTAATGGGAGGGGAGGGGCTTGTGGTGTTAGAACTTGAAGGGGAACAATGGGAAAGTACTACTGGGCTTTTTGATGCTAATAGGAATGGACAGTCTGTGTCTCTTTGGCAGCTGAATTAGCAGGAAGCTCCCTTGGAGGGTGGCTAATGGTAGCTGTATTTTGGGGAGGGTCTGCTATAGTCAGATCAGAGATGTTCAGATAAGATTCCTTTCGGCATATTCTGTAGCTCAAATGTTTTCACTTTAAAATAATCTTTATGCCAACTTTGGGGGTCTAAATGGGCCCCCACAGATGTTAAGTATGGCTTACTCATATCTTAGGAACTCACAAATTCAAGTTTTCAAGAAAACAAAATGATTTTAATATCTCCCTAAAAAGTAAAACAGGGTATATTCTCCAAAAACAGGTATAACACTTCATTCCTTATAAGCATACATTTTATTGCCCTTCTAAAATTCAGATAACAACTTTTAACAGCTGGATATCTCATGTTTGCCTAGAACAACGAGGTATGCATCACCAGAAGGGATTGGAATGTGTTTTCTTTCTTTTTTTATGGTTCCTTGTAGCTTACCCATCATCAAGTTGTTGATGGTAGAGAATCACTACTGGATCAAGGACCAGATTATCCTTAATAACCTAATCATCAGCCTGTTCAGAAAATTTTGGCTTTAATCCCTAGTGGGTGAGCTCTTAGTAATCTCTTCCAGACTATTGTGAAGTATGCTATACTAAGCTCTATCAGTGTTTTACCAGAAATTCTCTTCCTTGAGTACTAATCCTAATGCTTGTGAGACAGGATATTGTCTTGGGACATTTAAAAATGTTGCCTTCAATTTTACTATTTTAAAATATTTATTGAGTGCCATTGAACCAGAGACCTTTGGAAAGGTCTTATTACAAAAGGAGCCTCAGGGTTGTGTATGCCTTTCCCAGGAACAAGAAAATTAAAGATAATGAGAATCCAGAAAAAGCACACATGAATGTATATATAATCATCTCCTCTGTTTTGTTTCAGTCTTAAGATAGTACCACCAAAGCATCCTTACTGACATCTACACAAAAATATTCTGTATTTTTGGTCTTTGAAAAATTAATATTTTCCCTCCATTTTTGATGATGTGGGAGTTCTGTAGGAGTTCTTATACCAGTTTTAGGTCAGTTTTGAAGTTTTATGGGACAACGCTTGCTGTTTTCCACACCAGAAGTCACTTTATTTGAATACCATACTTTTTTTTTCCTGCTAGCATACTGGCAAAGACTATTGGAAAAAAAAAAAGTGTGTAAAATTTGATTTTATTGCTACCCTAAGGTGGCATAATTAGCCATAAGGTGGAAATGTGAGAAATCTCCCACTTTGCAAAAGGATGTCAGCGTATCGGACCTCTGGGCTCTATGGAAATTGGTAATAAATTCTTAGAACTTTGTACCTAATGCAGAGAATTGTTTAGTTAGTTGCTATCATAAAAACAGAGAGGCATGCCCTTCTTTTTTTGTTCTTTTTTATTTTTTTTTTTTTAAGATAGAATTTTGCTCTTGTTGCCCAGGCTGGAGTGCAGTGACGTGATCTTGGCTCACTGTAACCTCCGCCTCCTGGGTTCAAGCAATTCTCCTGCCTCAGCCTCCTGAGTAGCTGGGATTACAGGCACATGCCACCATGCCAAGCTGAGTTTTTGTATTTTTAATAGAGATGGGGTTTCATCATGTTGGCCAGACTGGTCTCAAACTCCTGACCTCAGGTGATCCACCCGCCTCAGCCTCCCAAAGTGCAGGGATTACAGGTGTGAGCCACCGCACCCGGCTGCATGCCCTTCTTTATCCTTCTTGCTGGTTGGAATGTGGAGGTTATGGCTATAGTTCCAGTAATCACCGTGAACAATGAGGAGGGAGCCATGTATTGAGGATGGCAGAGAAATAAGGTAGAAGCCTGGCTCTCTATGGTCATGGAGCTGCCATTCTAGCCCAGGATTATATGAGGAGGAAAGAAACTTCTAGTTTATTTATTGAAGACTTCAAGGTAACTAAAACACATGTATTAATTTTCTCTTTGGGGAACAATGTTGGCTAATCTTTCTATTCTGTGCAAACCTAAATTGTTATGGGCTAAATGTGTCCCCCTCAAAATTCATGTTAAAGCACTAACCCTCTTATTAGGTATTATTCAGAGATGGGGTTTTTGACAGGTAATTAGGTCATGAGGGTAGAGTCCATATAATAGAATTAGAGCCATTAGAAAAAAAAAAAAAAGGAAACTTTTTCTCTGCTCTCACACCACAGCAATCAACACAAAAGACTTCTGTGACCAAATGTGTGAGGGTTTTTCCCCACACACCAAGCAAGCAATTAGTTGTATAGGAGACACCAGCTGGGTGTCCTCTAATTTGATTCAATTCTGACACTGTCTACCTGAAGTTAGCATCAGATCCCACAGGTTGAGGGCTCAGTGCCACAAGACTGCCTCCACTTCTGTAGCAGGACAAGCTGCAGACAAAACCCCTCAGACACCGAGTTAAGGAAGGAAAGGCTTTATTCAGCTGGGAGCTTCGGCAAGACTCACATCTCCAACAACCGAGCTCCCCAAGTGAGCAATTCCTGTCCCTTTTAAGGGCTCACAACTTTAAGGGGGTCCATGTGAGAGTGTCGTGATTGATTGAGCAAGCAGGGGGTACATGACTGGGGGCTGCATGCACCGGTAATTAGAATAGCACAGAACAGGACAGGGATTTTCACAGTGCTTTTCTATACAATGTCTGTAATCTATAGATAATATAATCGATTAGGTCAGGGGTTGATCTTTAACGGCCAGGCCCAGGGTGTGGCACCAGGCTGTCTGCTTGTGGATTTCATTTCTGCCTGTTAGTTTTTACTTCTTCTTTCTTTGGAGGCAGAAATTGGCCATAAACAATATGCTCTCCTCCCTTATTCCACCCCTTTGAGAATTTCACTCAATAGTGGGAGTTCTCACTTTCATTCTCACTACCTATGCCTTCTTGCAAGACAGAGCGATAGTGATTCATATAGTACATTTGTGCTGAAGCATTTTGGTGAACTAAGGTAGCAATGAAGCTTTTTATCATTTGAAGAAGTACAGGTAGCAAACAAGGGAGCATTAAGCAGGTTTCTATTACTGTTATAACTCCTATTATAAGAGTTTTAAATATTTTTAGGACTGGGAACCATTTTCCAAACATGGCCCCAGGATCAAATCCATGCCACACTTGCACGGGCACATGTGCCAGTTTTGTCATATTTCTAATAACTATGTCTTCAACTACTTGCCCTTGATCATCTATGTGTAGACAGCAATTAGTAAGGTTAAATTTTCTACAGACCCCTCCTTCAGCTGCTAGGAAGTAGTTGAGAGCCAATCTATTTTGATAGATAGCATTTATCATCTGAGTTTCTTTCCAGGCCAGAATAGTCAAGGCTCTGCCGGTCTTATTAGTAATTATTTCTAAGACTGCTTGTAACGGTATGATTTGGTGAGCATGTAAATGGGGTTCGGGTATCCCCATGAGCTGTCTTGTGCCCAAGTACCAGGCCTATAATATTGTATGATTCTCTCAGGAGGCCATTCATCATCTTTTTAATTTTCTATAGCTATGCTTCTCTTTTTGCAGGAAGCACAGACAGGGAAGGCCAGGAGTTCACCTGTCTTTATGGGCAGTAGGAATAAAGATGGTTTAATAGTGCCAATCACACAACTACCTGCCCACTAGTCAGGTAATTTGATGTAAGCTTTATGCCCGCATATCCAGTATAATCCAGTGGGGGCTGTCCAGTCCCGGTGGGACTCCAAGTGGGTTCACACGGTTTGCAACTTTGGGAATTTACTAAATGGATTTTTCTTTGTGTGGTTTGAACTCCAGCAGGTGGCTGTTTTTGTAGTAGTATTATACAGTTTTTGCCCAAGGCAGCTGAGTCTTCCCACAGGAAAGGTGAAGTCCTTCCCCACTCTTGCTATACAGTATTGTCAATGATTGAGGCTTTTAGGACCCAGAAGTTATCAGCATGATTCTTTTGAGCCGGGAATTAATCAGGAACTGGGTCTGTAGGTACTAATTCTCGGGCTTCCCGTGGCCATTGATCTCCTATTACAGTTCCTCTACATACATAACATGAAGTGACATTGAGAGACTGGGCCACATGCTCAACTAATTGCAAAGACAAATTTCTTGTTTTTCCTGGGATTTCTGGTACTGGTACATTCAGTTTATCATAGAAGTTGTGAAATACTGGCTCAGGAGAGCATTTATAAACTTCTCCTCAAACCACGATATTTACTCGAGGATCCAGTCCAGCCTCATCGATTTCTAGGGTTACATGCTCCCCTTTTTTCCAGCGAGGATCAAAGGGGTTGGTTATTACTAGTTCTAAGGGTTTACACTGACCACTGGTACAGGAAAGGCCACTTTTCCCTTTCTGAAGGTGGACAGGATCCTTTTTATTATTTATCCAAGTAGCCTAAATGACACAAGACTAGTATCTACATTCATTTCCACACAGTCCTAATTCATGAAAAATGTAATTATTTTCTGCCATATAGCCTCTTTCCTAATTAAGAGAACTACATCCTATTCCTAACTTATTACTATTAATGACAGCACAGGCATCAAACTTCAAGGTGACTTGTTTGGGCACCCCTTTTACTTTTGTTTTGGCTAACACTTTACTCGTATGATTTATGAGCCCCCACCATTCCTCAGTCCTTAATCTTATTTCAAAAACTGTGGTCATTGGAGGCTCAGATGGGTCATAACACACATCAGGTTGGTGATTTCCTGGGCTACATACCTTGCATAGAATAGCATTATACAAATATGTTTCTTTTTAGAGTCCCAGTACACTTGTAATAATCATAAAATAATAGGACTGTAGCAACTTTTTGTCCTACCTCAGTGACTTGATGTATACACTGGGAACAGTGCTCAGTCTGAGGAAGGTCATTTAAAGTCCTTACTGTACAAGTCCAAATTTTAAGGAAAATGAGTCCCGCGATGAGTTTTCTCATGCTTCGGCCATGCATCAACTTCTGGGTATGACTGGAGCAGGGCTTGTCATCTTCTTCAGAGTCACTTTGCAGGGGCTGGCGAAGCTGCTTCTGTCCATGTACAGCTCACAGTCTACTGATGTTCAAGGATGGTTTCGGAGGTTGGGCCCACTAAAATAAACTGAGTCCAACAACTCTACATAGTTATGTTCAACTGGGCTCTCTGATACCGGGAGCAAGGTGGCAGGGTTTAGGGTGTTGCAAACTTCAATGATTATGTGGGGATTTTCACATAGCAAGCTTTGGTACTTGGTTAATCTGGCATTTGTTAACAATGATGTCCTTTGGTAATCATTAAAGTTACCACAGCATGGGGGGTCTTTATATTCAGGTTTTACCCAAGGGTTAGTTTATCTGCTTCTTGCGCTAACAGGGCCATTGCTGCCAGGGCCCTTAGACATGGGGGCCAGGCTTTGGAAATTCCATTTAGTTGTTTTGAGAGATAGGCCACTGGCCTTAGCCAGGGACCTATAGTCTGGGTTAAAACTCCAACTGCCATTTTTTCTCTTTCTGACACATAGGGTATAAAAGGTTTTATCAGGTCAGGTAGCCCCAAGGCTGGGGCCGACATGATTTCTTTTAACTCATGAAAAGCTCATTGCTGTTGGTTGTAATAGATGTAGTTTATCCAATTTACATTTTTATTAAGTGTCACCTACCAAAATATTGACTCAAATCCTGCAGCTATTTGATTTCAAGCTTTAAATTGATCTGGTATTCTCCATGGGACTCCAATTGTGTCTAAATGGATGTGAGAGTCGAAAGACCCATAAGGGGCTCCTCTCGCTTTACAATGTCTTATTTTCCTCCCTCTGGTTGATAAAATGCCAGGGTGAAAGGGATAGCCAATTGGACTAAAGTACAAGAGCCACTCCAGTTATTCGGCAGAGTGCCCAGTAAAGATCCACCACAATACCACCACACATCTGCTCGGGGATGAACAAGGGCTGACTGATTGATAAGCTCTTGAAAATTTTTAAGCTCACCGCATCCTTTCAGGTCTCCAAGGGATGCTAAGTTTCCTCCCTGTCATGAGAGACACGAAGTGAACTTAGTGTTGGGAAATGGAGGCTGGATGGCCCTCAGGGGCTGACCCACAGGGTGCTGGACTTTGGGATATAGCAAGAGAGCTTGGCACGACTTATTACTCCAGGCTGTAGAATCCTGGAAAAGAGCTACCATGCAGCCCATGCCTGGTCGACTGGAGGACCACCTTAGTGGAAAGGGGACAATCTGGGCCTCTGGCCTGCCATGTGCACAAGCATAACAATTGCTTTTGTTTAACGTGCAGGTGGAATATTTGATCCATTCCAACGAGGCATTTGCATCTTGGTATGCTGTCTTAATTGCCAAAGTTTGTTTTAAGTCTTTAACTTCCATGATCGTCTAGTAAAATGAATGTGTGATTTTGGGAAATTACAAAAATTGGTTGGGGCAGTCCATCCTTTCTCTTTAGTGGTCCACAGAATGTTGGACCAACTACGGCATAAAAGCTCTACATTGGGGAGCAACACTCCTGGTTGACACTGGAGTCTTTATCAAAATTTCCCTGGATTAAGTGGTCCTAATTTACTAATGCCCAGTCTGAGGAGAGTCAGGAAGGAAAGAGGTAGTTTTCTGAAGTAGAGAGCTGTCTTTCACTTGGCAAGTCCCCACAGGGTATAACAAGGCAAGCATTAAATGCAATAGTTTGAGGCAAAATCGACTTGCTTATGTTAATAACCAGATGGTCAGCAATAGAGCGAGGAAAGAAGAAAGTAATAGAATGACGAAAGAGTTAAATTTTTCTTAGTGTTAGTTTGGCAGGGTTTTCCCCTGGGACTGTGGCCCACGACTCTGGAGGGGGTGGCGCTTTGACTCTGGTGTGATGAGTCCATCCCTTTTCCGCTGTACGAACAGCAGTCTTGGTGGTAGCAGCACAAGATAGGGTCCTTCCCAGGCTGGCTTGAGTTTTTCTTCTTTCCACCCTTTGATAGGAAGGTGATCTTCAGGCTGGTGCTGGTTTACTGGAAATTCTAGGGGTGGTACTTGTACTAAAAGACTTTTAGTTTTGAGGGAAAGGAAAGTGGAAGATAAACCAAGTATATAATTTCTAAGAAACTGACTTTTTCTTTTAAATGTGGGGACATCAACAGTGGACTTTGGTCTTTGGTGCCTTCTTGCTGAGAAATTTCCTTTAGCATCTATTTTTATTAGTTTTTAGACAAAGAAAGCCAAACACCATTTTATATTTAATAATGCTTCTTGTATGATTTTTTTATACCAGATAAGCTAAATTTCACCTTTATATTTAATGTTAAACTTAGTTTTAATAAAACTTTGTATACATACTTATTCAATTTTTAATGTCAGACCATAAGGTAAGATTTTTATAGATTCTTTTTAACCTTTTATAATCTCTGTTAAAGAGCAGGTTAGTGCTTTAAGAAAAACCCATTGTGTTTTCACTTTAATGTCCAGTTCACAGAAAAACTGGATGATACTCGTTTAACTTTAGCTAATATGTTTACACACAGAATTTTTTTATATAATTAACATTTTAAAACTTGCTTAAACCTTCAAAACAAAAATTTTTTAACCTTTTAGTGTAGATAAAAATTTGCATTCTTATGCCTCCTTATAATCCTTTTATCAAAGGTATATTTTACTTTCCTTATACACCTTGCACATAAACTTTTTTTTTTAATAGTTTTACATTCAGGAGGCCTAGTAACTTTTAAATTATACAACATTTCTTGCATAAATTCTTTTTTTATAACATTTTTCTCTTTCATGACTTTTGTAGACAATTCTTCGACATGCCTCAACATTCTGACTTATTACAAACATTTCTGTCTTTAAACAACCAGTTAATTCAGGACAAGAATTTACCATATAACACTCTTTTTACATAAATTCTGCCCCCCCCTTTTTTTCCCTTTTGTTTTTCGAGATGATAACCATTCTTTTCCAAAGCAAACTTCTTTTATGTCTGTGGACTAGACTGTCTAAGGCCACAAGATTAGAAGTTACTATAATACATATTACACTGTTAACTTTTAGCAAACTTTACTTCTGTTGAAACCCTTGTAAGTTTGGGACTTCAATTATCCTTTGCCATTAATAAGGCCTTGTTTTGTCCAAATTAACTTAGAATTGGTATAGATGGCATTTTTTTTTTCCCTTCAATTACCTGGGAGGAACCATCGATCCTCCTGTCCTGAAGGGAGTTCCTCCTAGGTCTGGTTGGTCCTTTGTATGGTAATTTAGATTTAGATCCCCTATTAGGAAACCTGCTGGGTTAAGGGAATTTTCAGTGGTTAATGTTAAATCATCCTTTTTTTTTTTTTTCGTTAGGATACTTCTGAACTGGTGAGGTGTGCTCACAATGAGGTTTCCTCTAAAAGTTATTTTTTTACTTTTTTCTGTTAGCAAAGCAGTTGCTGCTACAGATTGAATGCATTTGGGCCATCTGCAGGTTACTGGGTTAAGGACTTTTGATAGGAAGGCCTCAGTGCTTTCGGGATACGCCCTTGTTTACACTGACAACAAAGTGGTATTGGAGTGTTATAGGGTAAGGAGAATACCTTCAATTATAGGTTCTTAATTTACCTTGGCTTTTAAAGGAATAGTATACACTGTTTTTTTTCTTAACTGCTTGCATATCTCTGTCTTTCTTTCTTTCTCTCTTTGATTTTCTGTCTCTTTTTCTCTTTGACTTTACTTTTGCATCTGTCTGTTTCTCTCTCTGCCTCTCTCTTTCTCTCTCTCTCTCTCTCTCTCTCTCTGCTGGTCTTTCCTTGCCTCTGCCAACCACCTATGTTGCTGTTCTCTCAACCACTGTGTGTGTGTGTGGAGGGTGGGTCTAAAACCAGCTATAACCAAGTGTCTATATATGGGAACTGGTCTGGGTGGCTTGGCTTACAGGTTACTTTGTGCCATACCTTTGAAACAAGGGACCTGTCCAGGCTTCCTTCTGATGGCCAACCCACCTCTAATGCTGGCCAGTCTATCTTACACAAAGTTTTAAGTTTTCCTGGTGTCATAGTACTCCATAGTCTCCCTTAAATCCTTTCTTGAAATTTCTGAACATATTTCCTAGTGGGGTGGGCTTACTTTGTGCCTGACCCATGCTTCTTTGAGACAAAACACCATGCTCACACCACACGCACACCACAAAGAACAGGTAAAAAGGGCACACACACACTTTTACAGTTTACACCAAACCAGAATCAAAACCAAAATCAGAGTATCAGGAAATCCAAGCCAGGTCAAAACCAAAACCAAAGTATCAAGCAATCCAAGTCAAGTCAAAAACAAAAACCAAAGTGCTGGTACAGGCACGTCGTGGGTGATCAGGCCATGCTTCCACTCAAATGGAATGGGCAAGTTCCAAAGACCAGTCTTACCAAGTTTCAGATGTCCGGACTCCAAGTGCCAGTTCCTTCCCGGTGTTCAGCCACTGCGTTGATCCTCCACGGGGGCCTGCCATGCACTGCTCTGGTGAGGCATTCCACTAGGGCAATTGCATACCCAGGAGTGCTCTCAGGATCTGTGTCACTCAAGCTGGCCGGAGTCCCCTGCAGGGATGCTCCACAGGGCAGGCCTAAGCCACCTAAGGGACTGCCTCGACCGTCCGTTAATCACCTTGCTTCCCGGTCAGGGAACCAAAAAATGTAGCAGGACAAGCCACAGACAAAACCCCTCAGACACCGAGTTAAAGAAGGAAAGGCTTTATTCGGCTGGGAGCTTCAGCAAGACTCACGTGTCCAACAACCAAGCTCCCCACATGAGCAATTCCTGTCCCTTTTAAGGGCTCACAACTTTAAGGGGGTCCTCGTGAGAGGGTCATGATCGATTGAGCAAGCAGGGGGTATGTGACTGGGGGCTGCATGCACCGGTAATTAGAAAAGGACAGAACAGGACAGGTATTTTCACAATGCTTTTCTATACAGTGTCTGTAATCTATAGATAACATAACCGATTAAGTCAGGGGTTGATCTTTAACTACCAGACACAGGGTGTGGTGCCGGGCTGTCTGCTTGTGGATTTCATTTCTGCCTTTTAGTTTTTACTTCTTTCTTTGGAGGCAGAAATTAGGCATAAGACAATATGAGGGGTGGTCTCCCTTACTTCCAATGCCAGTTGCAAACCCAGGTTTTTGTTTGTTTGTTTGTTTGTTTAACCTGTGCTTCTGACCAACTGGCTATAAATCAGCATCCTATGACTTCCTCTTTAGGTTCGCTTAGTTTGGTAGGGCAGCTCACAGAACTCAGGGAAACATGTTTACTGGTTTATCATGAAGGATATTGCAAAGGATACAGATGAAGAGATGTATAGGGTGAATTATGGGAAGGGGCATGGAGCTTCCATGCCTTCCTTGAGTGCATCACTCTCCAGGAACCTCCACGTTTTTAGGTGTCCAGAAGGAAGCTCCCTGAAGCCAGTCCTTTTGGGTTTTTATGGAGGCTTCATTATGCAGGCATGATTGAGTAAATCATTGGCCATTGGTGATCAACTCAACCTTTAGTCCCTCTCCCCTCTGAAAGATAGGGGGTGCTGAAAGTAGAAACCCTCTAATCCTGCCTTGATCTTTCTGGGGACCAGCCCGTCATTCTGAAGCTACCTGGGGGCTGCCAGGCATCAGTGAACTCATTAGCATACTAAAAGAGGAATTACCTTGAGGATTCCAAGGATTTTAGGAGTTGTATGCCAGAAAACCAAGATGAAGGCCAAATATATATTTTAGAATATCACAATCCACCCTGATCTTTGAACCCAAATACCTTATATCAAAAGGACATACAATTGAAAAGATACTGCCATATTGCTAGCATCCCATTCAGTCATTAATAATTACTCCAGTCCATCATCTCGTGTGACTGTCTTCCAGGGTGAAGCCACTCAGATTTACAGGTTTCCATCTAATCTTGTCAGCTTCCAAAAGCAGGAGGAGTCTTGGCCAACACATGCTTCACCCTTTCAGGCAGCTGACATAATTGAGCTAAGACAGGATGTCCAGGATGTCATCTTTCAAGGTATTAATGTAATACTAGGTTTCTCTCAATTTGTAATCCATTTGTTCATTCTTTTACCCTCAGCTACTATTCTTCCTTCTCTTCATTTATACCCAAACTTTTCCACCTCTGGAAGAGACATTAGGTTCAGCTACTGTGCTTGTCTACACTGCAGGCAACAATACTAGTCTAGCAGCAAGTTCCTTCCCTTCAGTTCATTCCCATTGACATAGGATAAGGTGAAACAGGTGCAAAACTGTGGATGATGATGCAGGATATTTTCATGACCCCTTTGTTGGATTAATGGCAGGGTGTCTCGTTTACTTAGCCTACCCCATTCAACCCCTTGTGGGAGGGAGCCTGTGAGCAAACGGGCACAGGAACTGACTGGCTTCTGTGGTGCCAGCAAAAGCAAATTCCACTTGCTTGGGTCTGCTGTGCTTCACCCCTCATGGGAGGACGCATGCAGGTGAGCAAGTGCAGAAACCAGCTGCTTTAGTGCCAGCAGGAGTGAACTCTGTGCAGGCCCCATGGCAGCATCTAGCTGGAGGTGGCTGCGACCCCAAGGCCCCAGAGGGCGTGTTACAATGCTCTCTTAGCTCCATTGTCTGAAGACAGCAGTGTGTTATCAGCTCAGTGGGCCCTTTGCCTCATTTTGTGGGGTGGCTGCCCTCCACCAGCAAGGGCAAAGGGCCAGTGTGACAGCCTTTTTGGGTACCTGCACCTGGTGAGTCCCAAATTCTTATCTGGTGCCCAAGAGGAATAAGGTCCCGCAGACGAATTGAAGGATGGTGAATGTGGAGCATTTTATTGAGTAATGAAAGTGGCTCTCAGAGGAGAGGGGAGCTGGAAAGAGGATGGGAAGGGCAGGTCGCTGTCCCCTGAAGTCAAGCTGCCTCTCTACCTCTCTCTTCCAAAGTTAAGTTGCCTCATCCAGCCACCATCTCTGAAGTCGAAGTTGCCTCTCCCCAGTGTCCAGCTGCTTCTTCTGATGTCCAGCCACTTCTTCTCTCTGTCAGCTGAGTATGGGTTCTTTATAGGCACAGGATGGGATCAAGGGGGCTGTAGGTAGTTTTGGAAAAGGCAACATTCAATTGGTAAAAAGACATTACTCAGAACCAATCAGGAGAGAGTGGGCTAACAGAAATGGAAGTTCTCACTTTGGGCCGTGGGTTTCAGGCTTTTTGTCTCGAAGGTGGGGTTTTGCCAGAGACCTACCCCATTTGTCTAGAATTTCTGTGCCTTCTGTTGCTAACACTGTTTTTACCACCAGGCCATATAGTTGCATTTACTGCTAACCCCAATTATGCTAGATGGAGTGAAGTACAACCCACTTCTATCAGGCCCTTAGGAATTCTAGCATAAGATTTCTTAGGAATTATACCTACTTCCAGCACTTGTAGTCGTAGCCCTGGTCCTGTGACCACTGCATCAGGTAGGGAGATAAAAGTTGAGGTAATACATGGAGAAAAGGAAAAAAGTAGGATCATTATACCAGCATATTCCCCCCTTGGCAAGAATCGCATAGTCATACCTGCATACTCTCCAATCCCTCTTCCTCAGATGCACCAGAAAAATGGAGAATTTTAGATCCTTTAGTTCCACTAGTGTTGAGTGTGAGCACACAGTCATGAAGGTGTGTAATCCAATCTTTATGCTTTTAAATAGTGGTTTTAAATCAATGTTTTAATTGCCTGTTCTACTTCCCTATCAAACCATTACTCTAAGGAGAATATCTCTCTGCCTATTGCTGGACATTACAGGCTGTACAGTGTGTTCCTTAGTCTGAAGAAATGATATTGGCCAATAAATCCATGCAATATCTTATTTTCTGGTTTATATCTATATCTCCTTTTTCCCAGATATGAACCACAATTCTTAAGGTTACTGGTAAATACAATTAGCGTATTACATAATTGTTTATTTCCTTTAACCCACACAACATGCAATAGTTTCAGAATAACAGTACTAAATGCAACCAACAATATGATTACTGAAAATAGTTTTGATCTTTTTGTTTTTCATCTCTTTTGTGCTGCAATGATATCACTGTGTTTTAAACTCACTTGGAATAGTTAGCCTCTATGTTTATGCCTCCAACTAAGTATACAATTAAGTTAATTTGTTATGTTTTATTCTCAATTTGTAGATGTCTTTTAAAAAATTATCTTTTGTTTTACAATAAGGTAGGAAATTCACATGGCTCCAAAGTCAAACATACCAAGCAGTTTGTAGTAAGCACAATCACATCTCCCTAACGATGTTTACCTCCTAAACCAGATGTGTGGTGCAAGAAAAGGGTCCAATTTCATTCTTTTGCACGTGGATATTTGGTTATCCCAACACCACTTATTGAAGAGACTCTCTTTTCTTCATTTTGTCTTCTTGGTGCTCTTGTCAAAAATTTGTTGAATGTATATAGATGGTTAATTTTGGGCTCTCTATTCGGTTCCATTGGTCTGTTTCACAGTATCATACTGTTTTGATTAATGTAGCTTTACATGTTTTGAAGTCAGAAAGTGTAAGGCCTCCAGCTTTGTTGTTTCTCAAGATTGCTTTGTCTATTTGGGTTCAGCTATTGTTTGTCTAAATTTTATGGTTCCATATACATTTTAGGATTCTTTTTCTACTTCTGCCAAAAAATGTGACTGGTATTTTTATAAGGATTACTTTGAATCTGTAGGTCACTTTGGGTAATGTGGACATCTTAACAATGTTAAGTACATTCCATGTACATATGGTGTCTTTTCATTTATTTATGCCTTCTTTAATTTTTTTAATCAATAGTCTATAGTTTTCAGGGCATAAGTCTTCACCTCCTTGTTTGAACTTATTCTTTAGTATTTTACTCTTTTGAATGCCATTGTAAATGAGATTGTTTTCTTAATTTATGTTTGCTTTGATTTTTTGTAGTGTATAGAAATGTGACTGATTTTTGTATCTTAATCCCACAACTTGGATTTAGGTAGTTTTATCCTGAAACTTTGCTGAGTTAATTTTTCAATTCTAACAGTTTTTGTGTGGCATTGTTTTGGTTTTCTACTTATAACATTATGACATCTGTGAACAAAGATAATGTGACTTCTTCCTTTCAGATTTGGATGACTTTTATTTTTTATCTTGCCTAATTGCTCTAGCTACGACTTCTAGAACTATGTTGAATAAAAGTAGTGACAGTAGGTATCCTTGCCTTTTACCTGATCTTGAGAAAAAGCTTTTAGCTTTTAGCTATCGAGTATGATATTAGCTATGGACTTTTCATTTCCTTTGTTATTGGAAAGTAATTTCCTTCTATTCCTAGTTTGTTGAGTGTTTTTGTCATGAAAGAGTGTTGAACATTCTCAAATGCTCTTTCTGCATCTATGGAAATCACCATGTCATTTTTATTCTTTGTTATGTTAATGTGGTATGTCATTATGATTGATTTTTGTATGTTGAACTGTCCTTTCATTCCAGGAAAAATTTCACTTTGCTATGGTATATAGTGCCATTAATGTACTGCTAAATTTGGTTTGCTAGGTGACAATTTTTGCATCTCTATTCAGATTGGTCTTGAATTTTTTTTCTTGTAGCCTCTTTGTCTGCCTTTGGTATCGGGGAAATGTTGGCTTCATAAAATGAGTTTGAAAATATTCCCTTCTCTTCACTTTTTTTGGAAGAGTTTAAGAAGGATTTGGCATTAATTATTTAAATTTTGATGGAATTAACTAGTGAAGCTATCTGGTCATGGGCTCTTCATTGTTGGGAGGTGTTTGATTGTGATTCTATCATTTTACTAGTTTTAGGTCTGTTCAGATTTTCTATTTATCATGGTTCGGACTTGGTAGGTTGTATGTTTCTAGGAATTTATTCGTTTATTCTAGGTTACCGATGTGTTGATGTATAATTGTTCATACTAGTGTTCTGTAATACTTTTTATTTCTGTGTTATCTTTTTTAATGTTTCCTCTTTCATTTCTGATTTTATTTGAGTCTTCTGCATTTTTCCTTTTTTTCTTTTTCTTTTTCTTTTTTTTTTTTTTTTTTTTTTTTTGAGACGGAGTCTCACTTTGTCACCCAGGCTGGAGTGCAGTGGTGTGATCTTGGCTCACTGGAACTTCCATCTCCAGGGTTCAAGTGATTCTCCTGCCTCAGCCTCCCAAATAGCTGGGATTACAGCTGCACACTACCATGCCTGACTAATTTTGTATTTTTAGTAGAGATGAGGTTTCGCCATGTTGGTCAGGCTGGTCTCAAACTCCTGACCTCAGGTGATCCACCCACCTCGGCCTCCCAAAGTGCAGGGATTACAAGTGTCAGCCACCATGCCTGGCCCCTGGATTTTTTCTTAATATAACTAAAGGTTTGTCAATTTTATTGATCTCTTCAAGAAAGAATCTTTACATTTATTTTTTTTTTTTTTACTGTTTTTCTATTCTCTATTTCATTTATTTCTGCTCTAATCTTATTGTTTTTTTCCTTCTGTAACTTTGGACTTAGTTTGTTCTTTTTCTAGTTCCTTGAGGTTAGATTACTAATTTGAGATATATGTATATTTTTATACATAAAGTTTACACTATAAACTTTCTTCTTAGTACTGCTTTTACTGCATCCCATGAGTTTTGGTATATTGTGTTTCTATTTTCATTTGTCTCAAGATATTTCCTAATTTACCTTCTGATTTCTTTTGGACCCACAGGTAGTTCAAGAGTGTGTTGTTTAATTTCTAAATATTTGTGAATTTTGCAGTTTTTCTATTGTTACTGCTTTCTAGTTTTATCACATTGTGGCCAGAAAAGATACTTGGTATGATTTCAATCATCATAAATTTGCTAAGATTTATTTTTTAACCTAACATATGTTTTATCCTGGATGATGTTTTATGTGCACTTGAGAAAAATGTATATTCTATACCAGCTGGATGGATAATACAGTACATGTTTCTTAGGTTCATTTGGTCTGTAGGTGATATCATTTGGAGTTGTGTCCCTGCCAAAATCTCATGTTGAATTGTAATTCCAATGTTGGATGAGGGGGCCTAATGGGAGGTGACTGGATCATAGGGGCAGAATTCCCCCTTGCTGTTCTTGTGATAGTGGGTGAGTTCTCACTAGATTTGGTTGTTTAAAAGTGTATAGCACCTCCCCCTACTTTCTCTTCTTCCTGTTCCAGCCATTAAGATGTGCCTCCTTTCTTTTCACCTTCTGCCATGATTGTAAGTTTCCTGAGGCCTCCCCAGCCATGCTTTATGTACAGCCTGTGGAACTGTGAGTCAGTTAAACCCCTTTTCTTTATAAATTACCCAGTCTCAGGCATTTTTTATAGCAATGTGAGAATGGACTAATGCAGAAAATTGGTACCAAGAGTGGGGTATTGCTATAAAGGTACCTGAAAATGTGGAAGCAGTTTCAGAACTGGGTAAAGGGCAGAGACTGGAACAGTTTGGATGGCTTAGAAGAAGACAGGAAGATGAGGGAAAGTTTGAAACTTTCTAGAGACTTGTTAAATTGTTGTGACCAAAATGCTGTTGGTGATATGGTTAACGAGGTCCAGGCTGAGGAGGTCTCAGATGGAGATGAGGAACTTATTGGGAACTGGAGCAAAGGTCAATTGTTAATCATTAGCAAAGAGGTTGGAGGCATTGTGCTCCTGCACTAGAGATCTGTGGAATGTTGAACTTGAGATTGATGATTTATGGTATCTGGCAGAAGAAATTTCTAAGCAGCAAAATGTTCAAGATGTGGTCTGGCTGCTTCTAGCAGCCTATGCTTATATTTGTGAGCAAACAAATGACCTGAAACTGGAACTTATATTTGAAAGGGGAGCAGAGGGTAACAGTTTGGAAAATTTGAAGTCTGGCCATGTAGTAGAAAAGACAAATCCATTTTCTGGGGAGGAATTCAAGCTGACTGCAGAACTTTGCATAAGTAAAGAAGAGCTGAATGTTAACAGCCAAGACAATGGGGAAAGTGCCTCGAAGGCATTTCAGAGACCTTTGCAGCAGCCCCTCCTGTAACAGGCCCAGAGGCCTAGGAAGGAAGAATGGTCTTGCAGGCCAGGTCCAGGGCCCTGCTGCCAGGCACAACCTTGGGACACTGCTCCCTGTGTCCTAGCTGCTCCAGCTCCAGTTGTGGCTAAAAGGGCCCCAGATATGTCTCAGGCTGCTGTTCCAGAGGGTGCAAACCATAAGCCTTGGTGGCTTCCATGTGGTGTTAAGCCTGCAGGTGCCCAGAGGGTAATTGTTGATGCTTGGGAGTTTTCACCTAGATTTCAGAGGGTGTATGGAACCACCTGGATGTCCAGGCAGATGTCTTCTTTGGGGCATAGCCATCATGGAAAACCTCTACTAGGGCAGTGCAGAGGGGAATTGTGAGGCTGGAATCACCATACAGGGTCCCCAATGGGGCACTGCCTAGTGGAGCTGTGAGAAGAGGGCCACTGGCCCCGAGACCCCAGAATGCACCATTCACCTGGAAGAGCCACAGGCACTCAATGCCAGCACATGAAAGCAGCCAAGGGGGCTGCATCCTACACAGCCACTGGGACAGAGATGTCCAAGGCCTTGGGAGACCACCTTTGGCATCAGTGTTTCTTGGATGTGAGACATGGAGTCAAAGGAGAATATTTTGGAGCTTTAAGATTTAACAACTGCCCTTCTGGGTTTTGGACTTGCATGGGGCCTGTAGCCCCTTTGTTTTGGCTGATTTCTCCCTTTTGGAATGGGAGTATTTAACCAGTGCTTATACCCCCATTATATTTTGGAAGTAACCAATTGTTTTCGATTCTACAGGCTCATGGGTGGAATCAACTTGCTTTGTCTCAGATGAGTCTTTGGACTGTGGACTTTTGAGTTAATGCTGGAATGAATTAAGACTTTGAGGGAACTGTTGGGAAGGCATGATTGGTTTTGAAATGTAAGAAGGACATGAGATTTGGGAGGGGCTGGGGTGGAATAATATGGTTTGGATTAGTCTCCCTGCCCAAATCTCATGTCGAACTGTGATTCCCAGTGTTGGAGGATGGGGCCTGGTGGGAGATGATTGGATCATGGGAGCAGATTTCCTCCTTGCTATTCTTATGATAGTGAGTGAGTTCTCACTAGATCTGGTTGTTTAAAAGTGTGTAGCACCTCCCCCAGCTCTCTTCTTCCTGTTCTATCCATGTAAGACATGCCTCCTTCCTTTTCACCTTCTGCCATGATTGTAAGTTTCCTGAGGCCTCCCCAGCCATGCTTCCTGTGCAACGTGCAGAACTGTAAGTCAATTAAACCTCTTTTCTTTATAAATTACTTAGTCTCAGGTAGTTCTTTATAAGCAATACAAGAATGGATCAATAATAGGGTTTCACAAATCCTGTTTTGTTATTGATCTTCTGTTTGGATAATGGTCTATTCATTCTTGACTGTGGGGTATTGGAATCTCCTACTATTATTGTGTTGCTATCTATTTCTCCCTTCAGTTCTGTCAATGTTTGTTTTATGTGTTGGGTCCATATATATTTATTATTGTTATATATCCTTGGCAAACTGACCCTATTATCATTATATAGTGACCTTCTTTGTCTCTTGTGACCAATTTGACTTATAGGCTCTTTTATCAGATATAGGTGTGGTCACCCTGTTCTTTTTGGTTACCATTTGTGTGAAATATCTTCATCCTTTCACTTAGACACTATATCTGATATCTAGAGTGAGTCTCTTTTTATGTAATTGACAGAGTCATAGACATGATACAGTTAAATCTTATTTTTTTCTTAAAATCCACTTAGCCACTCTATGTCATGTGATGTGGGAGTTTAATCCTTTAACCTTTAAAGAATTACTAATAGGGAAGGACTTACTATTGCCATTTTGTTGATTGTTTTCTGTCTTGGAGCTTTTTGTCACTTTTCCTCTCTTGCCATTTTCCTTTGTGTTTTGTTGAACTTCTCAGTTACATACTTTGAGTCATTTCTAATTTTCTGTGTGTCATATATATATATATATATATATATATATATATATATTTGTCATATATATATATATATATATATATATTTTTTTTTTTTTTGAGATGGAATTTTGCTCTCGTTGCCCAGGCTGGAGTGCAATGGCACGATCTCAGCTCACCGCAACATCTGCCTCCTGGGCTCAAGCGATTCTCCTGCCTCAGCCTCCCAAGTAGCTGGGATTACAGGCATGTGCCACCACACTCAGCTAATTTTGTATTTTTTTTTAGTGGAGGTAGGGTTTCTCCAGTTGGTCAGGCTGGTCTCAAACTCCCGACCTCAGGTGATCTGCCCACCTTGGCCTCTCAAAGTGTTGGGATTACAGGCATGAGCCACCACGCCCAGCCAAATATTTTCCTTGTTGTTACCATTGGATTTACATAAAACATGTTATAGTTATAACAGTCTATTTAAAGCTTATAACAACTCAATTTTAATCACATAAAAAACTGCTCTTTTACTTTTCCCCTCTACTTACTGTCACAGATTACATATTTGATGTAATATGTATTTGATGTAATTGTTACTCCTCATCATCAGTTACACAAATCATTACATTTGTGTAAACTGTAATTGATATCATGAGTTCTATTTTTAATGTGTACCCATTAACATATTTTATAGTTATACACTTATAAGGCAGGTCTAGTAGTAATAAACTTCTTTAGATTTTGTTTATTTGGAAAAGTCTTTATTTCTTCATTTTTGAAGGATAGTTTTTCTAGGTAATAGCATTCTGGATTGGCAGCTTTTTTTTTTTTTTTTTTTAAGAATTTGAATTTCCATTCCCTCAGCCTACAAAGTTTCTGCTGAGAAATCTGCTGATTGTCTTATGGAAGCTCCCTAGTATGTAATTACTTGCTCTTCTCTTGCTGCTTTCAAAGTTGTCTTTGTCTTTGACCTTTGCCAATTTGATCATAAAGTGTTGTGGTTTGCACTTCATCAGTTTATCTAGTTAGAGATATTTGAACTTCTCAAATCTGGGTGTCCATTTCTTTCCCTAGATTTTGGAGGTGTTAGACCATTATTTCTTCAAAAAAACTTTCTGTTTCTTTCTCTCTGCCTTCCCCCTTCTTCTTCTGAGACTTACATTATGTGTCCATTGGCCCACTTGACAGTGGCTTATACGTCCCTTATGTTTTATTTACTCTTTTTCATTCTTTTTTTTCTCTCCTCTCACTGGGTAATTTCAAATGACCTGTTTTTGAATTTTCTAATTAATTCTTCCATTTGACCAAGTCTACTGTTGAAACTCTCTGGTACATCCTTCTTTCTTTCTCTTTCTCTTTCTCTTTCTCTTTCCCTCCCTCCCTCCCTTCCTCCCTTCTTTCCTTCCTTCCTTCCTTCCTTCGTCCTTCCTTCCTTTCTTCCTTTCCTTCTTTCTTTTTGACAGAGTCTTGCTCTGTCACCCAGGCTGCAGTGCAGTGGCAGGATCTTGGCTCACTGCAACCTCTGCCTCTTGGGTTCAAGTGATTCTCATGCTGCACCCTCCAAGTAGCTGGGATTATAGGCACATGCCACCACGCCTGGCTGATTTTTGTATTTTTAGTAGAGACAGGGTCTCACCATGTTGGCAAGGCTGGTTTTGAACGCCTGGTCTCAAGTAATCTGCCTGCCTTGGCCTCTCAAAGTGCTGTGATTACAAGCATGAGCCACCACGCCTGGCCTCTGGTACATTTTTCAATTCAGTAATTGTATGTTTCAGTCACTAAATTATTGTTTGGTCCTATTTAATATTTTCTATCTCTTTGTTAACATTCTCATTTTGTTCTTGCATCATTATCCTGAATTTTTTAAATATCTTTATTACGTTTCTTTTCAATGTTTTATTAGGTAATTCACATACGTTCATTTATATAGGGTCAGTTCCTGGAGACTTATTTTGTTTTGTTTTGTTTTGTTTTGTTTTTGATAGGGCAATGTTTCCTGTTTCTTTATGTGCCTTGTAACTTTGTGTTGGGATCCATGCATTTGAAAAAACAGCTGCTTCTCCCACTCTTTGTGGACTAGATTTGTACAGAGAAAGACCTTCACAATTAGCTACTCCTCTTAAACCTTTTTTTTATGTATGTGTCTTCCCTGGAGTTACATGTGTGAATTATCAATTAGAAGGATCTTCTGTTTTTCTTTTCAGGCACTCCTAATCTCTTTTTTTCTCTAATGATTGTGCCTTGAGCAGCTCCCTGAAAAGACAGAACATTGGGTACATGGTGCACTCTTTTCTCCATTTCCCCCACAATGGAGAGGTCACTGAGCTGTGACAGCCACTGTCTGCTGCACTGTGGGTCTTCTGGGATATAAGCAAACTACCTGTCTCTCTTTTGTTCTCAGGAGCTCCCAGGCCTCTACAGTTTGCTGGGTCCCATTACTTTCTGAGACAGGTGAGATGGAAACAAGTCTCTTGGGAAGGCTCCCAAAAAGCCCATTGTCATAGAAAGCACCTGGCTTCTAATGTAAGTGTGAGAATTGGAGAGAAATATCTTGGTAAAAGATAGAAATAGGAGAGAAAAAGTATGTCAAATTCCAGGTCTAAATAGGGGGATCTCTATTGACTTTATTCTGTGTTTTTCTCTAACATACCAATATGATTAAAGTAATAACTTGCTTAACAGCAACTGGGTGTAAACACTGTTATTTTTATTTATTTTCCAAATGAGATAAAATCTGTCTTTGAGCTCTAATGTGTCTAGTTGAAAAGAGATTAAATTTATTGTTTATTTAGGTTACTCTTGCCCAACTTCATCAAAGTGGGGGCTGGGGTAATGCTATTGCTATCCAGAAAACTTGATGAAATCTTTCTTGTTCTTAGTCTATTAAACCGTTTCACTATCATCTGCAGCTCCTGAATCTGTCTGCTGGTGTGTTCTTGTGCATTGTTATCTATGGCCATCTCTGAAATGAATATTCTAGTGTATTTCCAGTTTAGAAAAAGTGCAGGGGACAGAAGAACATGTTAAAGAATACCACAGGGATGCAACAAAGAGGTTTATTTTCTGAGCCCATGGTGACTATTGGAAAACCAGCAACTCTGCTGCTTAGGCTATTTCCCTGCTTTGTGTCAGCTAAACCTTTAGAGTAGGGGTTTGGTGCCTAGCCTCACATGTCAACACCATCAGAGGTCCTACCTCCTCCTGCAGCACTGTGGAAAGTGCTGTTCCCATTTTCATCACCAGCAGTTTATACTATACATCAGCATAGTTTGCCACTGGGATTAGGACTTTTCTCTTATTCTTTCAAATGAATGAATTCTTGCTTAGAATAATCCAGTATTTTTTCCTCTATTAGTATGTTAGTTAGCTATAGCTACTGGAACAAAGTACCACAAAATAGATGGCTGTAAAAGGCAGATGTTTGTTCTTTTAAAGTTCTGGAGGCTACAAGCCCAAAACAAGATGTAGGCAGGGTGGGTTCCTTCTGAGGGCTCTAATGGAGAATTTGGTTCATGCCTTTCTTCTAGCTTCTGGTGATGTCTCACAATTGTTGACATCCTGTGGTATTATCTCTATGTGTCTCTGTCTTTGTCTCTGTTTTTTTTTGTTTGTTTGTTTGTTTGTTTGTTTGTTTCGAGACAGGGTCTTTTTCTGTTACACAGGCTGGAGTGCAGTGGCACAATCATATCTCACTGCAGCCTTGATCTCTTTGTCTCAAGTGATCCTCTCACTTTGACCTCTCAAAGTTCTAGGATTACAAGCATAAGCCACCACTCCTGGCCCTGTCTCTGTGTTCTTTTCTTTTCTTTCTTTCTTTTTTTGTTTTGTTTTGTTTTGTTTTGTTTTGAGACAGAGTCTCCCTCTGTCACCCAGGCTGGAGTGCAGTGGTGTGATCTTGGCTCACTACATTTTCCAGGCTCAAGTGATTCTCAGCCTCCTGAGTAGCTGAGATTTCAGGGATGTGCCATCACATCCAGCTAATTTTTGTATTTTTAGTAGAGATGGGGTTTTACCATGTTGGCTAGGCTGGTCTCAAACTCCTGGCATCAAGTGATCCATCTGCCTCAGCCTCCCAAAGTGTTGGAATTACAGGCATGAGCCACCATGCCTCTGTTTTCTTTTCCTATAAGAAACTGGTCATATTGGAAGGGTGCACCATACTCCAGTATTATCTTAATTAATTATATTGGCAAGTACTTTATTTCCAAATGAGGGTGTATTCTAAGATATGGATGTTAAGACTTCAATATTTCTTTTTAGGGGTCACAATTCAACCCATAACAACTTGTCTGATCTTGTGCATGCTACCCTAGGAAGCCCACCGCTCCCCTCATCCCACCTCCAATTTTAAAACACAAAACTTAGCTTGCCCTTTTACACAGTGAAACCTCGTCTCTACTAAAAATACAAAATATTAGCCGGGTATGGCAGTGTGCACCTGTAATCCCAGCTACTTGGGAGGCTGAGGCAGGAGAGTCGCTTGAACCTGGGAGGTGGAGGTTGTAGTGAGCCAAGATTGTTCCACTGTACTCCAGCCTGGGTGACAGAGTGAGACTCCATCTCAAAAAAAAAAAAAAAAAAAACTTAGCTTGCCCTTTTAAAGGAAGTAGGGAAAATACTTCTCATAGAAAAAATTTAAAGATAATCACTACTATGTTTTTAAATTGGTAATATCTTTATTATTTTTGCTGATTATAAGTGGAATGTATTCCAACTATAAAAGTTTAAACAATTTAGAAACATGAGTAGAATATAAAACAGACCAGTTTCCTGATATAACAGAGAAGGTGAAAGAAAAGAACAAATTGTTGTGGACTTAGTTATTAGAACCAACCCTCCTTCTGAAAAGACCTACAATTTTGGGAAAAATAGAAAAGATTTTTTTTTTTTGCAATCATTGAAAAGCTGCCAAGATGTAAGAAATTCCCCAGCTAAAATCTAAGGGAAAATGAAAGCTCAGGAAGGTAAGCAAAGCACAGAAGCCTCTTGGGTTCTAAAGGCATTTGCTGGTCTGGGAAGGTTGATCTTTGGTTTCGATGGCCTTAGAAGATGACAGAAAGCAAATTCCATGATCTGCCTAAGAAGGGGAGAAAACACTCCCCACGTTAAGATGGGTTCAAAAGGCTATACCATAAGGGTAAAGTAATCAGAAGTGAACTCTCACCAGGTATCTATAAGAAAGGCTGCTCTGAAGTTTATCAGAGGTGATGTGGAGGGCAGGGACCTTATTCCTGAGAAACAGTAACATGTAGCACTTCTCATGGATGTTCAGCATAAATTCTTGTCTCCTGCATGGCCAATTTTTTTTAAGCCTTGAGTTTATTTAAAACTGATCTTGGTATAATCACCTTGGAAAACAGTTTGGTAGATTTTGTAAAGTTAATCTGTGCCTACCACCTGACCCAGGAACTCCATCCCCAAGAGAAACAAAAACATATGTTTACAAAAATATTTGTAAATGCCTGTTCATTTATGTGAATGGGACTATTCATGAATAGTAGCCTTATTGAAAATGACTAAAATCTGGAAACAATTCAAATGTCCATGAGCTGTTGACTGGATAAATGAATTGTGGTATATTTATAACTTGAGTTACTATTGAGATATAAGGACAAATTGCTGATACATACAACAACATGGATGATTCTCAGAAATGTTATGCTGAATAAGAGTAGGCAGACGCAAGAGTATAAAAAAGCAAAAAGTGTGCAATGTAATTTGTGTCAAATTCTAGAGCAAGCTAAACTAATTTATAGTGACAGAAAGCAGATTAGTGGTTCATTAGGGTTTAAGGTGGGAAAAACAGACTGCAAATAGACACAAGGTAAATTTCTTTTTTTAAAAAA